>NW_025791764.1:0-120381 GCF_000001405.40 Homo sapiens
ATAATAGATTCTTGACCAATTTTAAGTCATTAATATTACAATTTAAAACAGAATGTGGTACAGAATAAAATTTCTGAGATATTTCACAATTTATTAAAGTAGTTGTTACATGTGTAGACTAATGCTGACATGACTGATTTTCTTCTACACTAAATTATTTCAGAATTAGGTTGTCCAAGAAAGCAAAACCTCACATGTGTATAAAGAAAAAGACTAGTGGTGCTAGTATCTAAAACAGACTTGAAACCATTATTTAATTCATCTGTGCATGAAATTTTCAAGTAATGTTTTATTAGGAAAACTATTATTTTTCAATGTCTTCAAGTTAAGAAAAAGAAAATATGGGTTCTTTACAAAGTAACAAGTCATTTAACTCGTAAAAATAAAGAAGGAAGGAAAATTTTTTACAAGTAAATGTTCTCTATACTTTCTCCACAAAATAATACATGGGCTATACAGTTTGTTGCTATAAGAAAAATATTTGAGAACTAGTCAGTATTTACTAAAATATGTTGTATATAACATATTGTATAGAGTGATTTGAGTTTTCTTTACTTAAAAAAGCCTAACTAAACAATTTTTACCTCCTTTATAAGACATAAGGAATTTTAGAAAAAGAAGAAATAAATAAACAAGGAAGAGAAAGGAAAGAAAGAAGAAAAGGAGAAAAGAAATTCAAATATATACTTTTTCAATAGAGATGTTATCTTTTCATCTACCTACTCAATGTGTTTCCATCTTTAAATGATCTTTTTTCTGAGAACTATTTGTAGGATATAAGATCTTATAGAAAATAATCCAATTTTCTTAATACAGTAATTTTTAAATGCTATTGGACTAATGAATTAACTAAATAGTTGTCATTTCATAAGCATGGAAGCCCCTCAACTACAATAGTGGTATCATCTATAAAGCGATGTCTTTTACTTCTCATGGATGCAGAATCAAATTGATAAGACATTAATTCAACTAATAAATAGTATAGTTTTTTTTGTATGTGGGTTACAGTCGGATATTGCCAGTCTTGCTGTGATCCTATTTTGATATACTCTTGGGGTTTCTTTTTCCCCTAATGTGAGCATCTGATTTGTAGCACATCAGTAAAATTAACATATGCAGTTAAATTATACAGTAAGTACTAAGTCCATATTCCTCCTGCCTCAGGCCAGTGATCAATCAGATACTCTTCTTCAAGAACTTCAACCAAGAGCCCTGGAGAGAACAGGCTCAGAGTCACATTAACGATGGCACACCAGAGGGACAGTCCTTCAAACACCACTGCTCACTCACCTGGCTGAAATTATCACTGCTAGTGCAACCAGACATCCCTGGCATTCTTCTTGGTTATTCTATTTTTGTTCAAACTTTGTAAAACACCTAAGTACCGTTCCATAAACAATATATATTACTAAAAACCAGTTTTCTTGGTTTGAAAGAGAAGAATTACACAAGTATGAAGGAAACTGGAAACTATATACTTTAAAACCTAGGTTAGACTCTTAGAAACTTTCATATATGGATCTTCATGTTTTCTATTATAATATGGGCCTAGATATGTCTGTAGAAGAAAACCTATTGTCATTCATTGCATAAATTTTGTGTAAAGAGTATATTTTTTCTGTAAGAATTTTTTAATTTTTAGTCTATATAAATATAGCCAAAAATCTCATTAATTCTAAGACAAGAAAGTACTCATTGTCAACTAGAACCACAACATTCACAGCATCTTTTATTCTGTTTGTTATTTTGGAGAGTCAAATACCTAACATGACTTAAAAAGTTTTTTATTTTTGTTTAAAGCACATGTATCCTTCTCTTTCAACCAATATGCTTATCAAGAATCCAAATCAAGAGCTAAATCAAGCTGAATCAAGAAGCTAAATATTTGTGTTTGGTTTTGACTAATAATTAAAATAAATATAAATTTTAAAGTTAATGATATAGTGGAATTCTTACTAACTCCAGAAAATAAAACAAAAGTTATTGATACAGTGGAATTCTTACTAACTCCAGAAAATAAAACAAAACATGAAAACACACAGAAAAACAAAAAACTTGGATTGTTACATGACAGAATCATTCTCTGTGAGATCAATAGTTCCCACAGCTTCTACCAGGCAGGGTAAATGGTTTTAAAGGAGGATCGTGCTTAAATAAATATATTCTCAGCCACCCAATGGTTTGCTGATTTCTGAAGGGCCAGAAACACAGGCGAATGTTTGGCATCTCTGGTTTCTGACCTGGATTGAACTGGACATGCTGAAATAATGTGAGAAAAGACTGTTTTCTGGCTAGAACTGGAAGTATATCTGCCAGCATTCCTGTGAACATGCTTTTCTTCTGTCCAGCTTTGACTGTTTAAGAAGTCAAGTTATGTTAGACCTAGATTGTATTCCGAACTAGAGCTAGACTATAAAACTTTTTTGAGAATGATAGAAATGTTTAACCCAAATTTGTGAGGGCAGAGCATTTGGGAGTGATGAAATTTCCAAAAGTCAAAAACTTCTGATGAGTGAGAGAAATGAATTGTTAAAACATGTGTCAGTGGAAATGTCATCTTATCCAGGGAAGATGGCTTGAAAATACCTTTGCACCTAGTGTATAACCAAAGATCACTCCAGACAAAAAGCCCCCAGCAGAAGATTTTGAGATGTTAGGGATCGTCTATCACACCATGTTCAGTGGGAAGAAGAGGACACATTAATAGTTAAATCTCCATTTAAGCCAAAGCATGCTAAATTCGTATTACACTAATAGGTTATTTGAGATGGCCTAATTTTGTAATTTATAAATAACTTTAAACTTTATTATTCTTCAAATTGATCTCCGCCCACCAAACATTCCTTTTCATTTTTAGAGTTATGAATTTTCTAGTGGAGAACAAAGAGTGACTAATGACTAATCCGAGTTTGTATGCTGTTGTTAACATACTGAAAGTTTTTTTCTCCTACTTATTATTTTATCTTGTTCAAACATAACTTGATTCTCTTTTGGAATCATGAAATAGAGTTGGAAGGCTTCTTTAAGGGTCAAACATCCCAGAATATCCTTTGAGGAAAGGAGTGGCACATCATTCCCATGTTACACAAACAGTAGACTTTGCCTAGGCCTATGTCCTCAAGATCATCACAATTTGGGTCCATTTTTGCCTTTTCAGTCACCGGTAAAGAAGGAGAACAGCTAGCTTCTCTCCTTTGTATATTCATCTTTTATATACTTAGAGATCAGGCCCATCTCTCAGTGTTTAACGAAGACTAAACATGAAAAGGTTCTTTGGAACTTACTCATCACTTTTATTCCCAGTTAATTAATTATCATGTCGATGACCCCTGAAACTTTTCCAAATTTTTTTCCTCTTCAGTTGTAGGATTATAAGCGGGCACAAAAGTCTTGAAAGAACTCAGCCGTTACTGAAGAACATATGTTGAAAGTATTTTGTTACATTTCTTAAAGTTTATTGCACATTACCCTTTTTCTAAAATGAGGATAACACAGTTGACTCATATGCTCAAATTGGGTTTGTTATTTCACCCATTACCAGCCATGTTCTGTGAGTAGGCTGATAGTATATATTTTCCTCCCCATGTCCTCTATTTTCAGTCCTAGCCCCAGTTAAGAAGTTAAATATTTATGTTGGATTTTGACTAATAATCAATCTGATGTCCACAACCACCTCCTGTCTACATGTCTGTCTACATATGAAAGGTATTAAAATATTACCACTACCTATTGCAAAGATCCCAAAATTATCTAAATTTACTTCAATATTATCTAAACTATATTAAAGAGATAATTTTTAGTGGGAAACCACATTTGAGAATCAAATATGCAAGAATTAATTACCCTGTGACTATTGCTTCAAATCAAATTGGAATTAAACTTTCAAATGGGCTCTACTGCTAGATAAATAATTGTAATAAGTATGCAGAACTAACCTTCTTCAAGACTTGTTGTTTATCATATAACCTCTATCTTTAAAGCTAAATTAAAAATATCAGGGAATCTAAATGTACCCTTAATGAGGAAATCATTACTATTTACCTTGTTTTTTGTGGGGGGATATTTAATATTTCAATAATCCTATCAAATACTATTTTCTAAATAGCTGTGTTTGTTAAGAAAGATTTGGCAGCAATTAACACACTACCTCAATGACAGTGGCTTAAACCATAAAAATATGTATTGTTTTCTTAGTTTAAAACCCTCACAATCTCGGCCAGGGAGCTCAGTGATGTCAGCAAGAATCCAGGCTTATTCTTCCTGCTTTACCATGTTTTCATTTTTTTTGCATCTTCCAAGTTACAGGTGTCTGTCATAGCTCAAGGCAGGTTATAGTCATCTTCAGAGCAGGAAGAAGGGGAAATCTAACATTAGTCTCAAGACTATCTCTTTCACTGGGAAATAAATTTACTTTTTAGAACCACCTCCACTGAGCAGAATGTCTCTGTGATCACTTGGTTACTCCCACCTGCAAGAAGTCCAGAAAAATAATTTTCTATCAGATGAGAGTTAAAGTTACCATGATTGGCATAAACAAATCACAGCTCATTTAATGGGTTTGGCAGATTGCCTTATTTTCTAGAGATCAAGGGCTCTTAGACCACCACTTAAACAAAATGGGCTCCATTAGCAGGAAAAAAACATTTGGGGAGTGGCTTTCGGTAGGCAGCCAAAAGTGTCTAGCGTAGTAGCCATTCCCCTTGAGTATTATCGTGTGCTTAGACAGGCACCACAGATCACCAAACATCTTGGGAGAAATATGTTTCAGGAAATAACAAAAGATAGTTTTACCTAAAAGTATGGAGCCATGTAGAAGAGACAAAACTGTTCTTAGCTGAAGAAAGGCTGAAATGTAGAGATCAAAAGGGCTCACTCTGTCTTCAGGCCCCACGTCAATGTCTTACCTGAGGTGAGGGTTAATGGAGGACTGGGCTTATGCTGAGAAAGCCCTGGACCTACCGATCTCCCTCTGGCTCCTCTTTCCCCACAACGACCACACTGTTCCCACAGTTATGCCTGCCCTTACTCGCGCTAACACCTCTCGTCAATCCAACAAGATTGAAACGCGAGCAAGACTCATCCCAACCCAGCCTCAAAGAGACTCAAACAGCAGGTAGAGATGCCGAGAACACAAAGGACCGTGTTGTCAGCTGTAACAAAGGCATGAATGAATATATGAAATGGAGATAATAATAGTAAACTCCTCACAGAGCTGTTGCAAGGATTAAATAAAATAGTTACACATGATAAGAGCTAAATAAATATTGTAGTACTATAAAAAGGGTGGACTCATATATATGGAATAAAATTAATGGTGAATGGTCACTGCTTAGATACCACTGGTGAAATATTTGAGGTTCAAAGATAAACAATATCAAAGACTTCCATTAAAAAACAAAATAAATGTTACCTACACAAAAAGAAAAATAAGAATCATTTCTTATTACTCTTCTACCACATTAAATGCTAAAAGATACTGTAATATCTACTGCATTTTCAGGGAAAAGGTTTAAGAGCCAACCCAATTCTACTCACACAATAAAAACAATAGAAAGACAGTATCAAATACTCAAGGACTCAGATTAAAACCCACATAGTCTTCATGAAAAAAAAATTGTTCAAAACATACTTTAACTAAGAATAGCAGTCAGTGTCATCCTTTTAAAAACTAGGTCAAATCATGTAATTCTTTCTGCTCAGAACTGTCCAATCATCCCCATTCACCTAACAGGGGTCAACACAACAAGGACCAAAAAAATCTGGCTCCTATGACTTCTCTTACCTCATATCCAACTCCCCTCACCCTTGGCCATTCAGCTGCAGTCACAGTGACTTGAAAAGCTGGAGACATTCTCACCTCTGGGCTCTGAAGAAACAGTCCTTTCTTTCCCTCCTGTTATCTGAAAGACACTCTCTCATCTTCTTGCTCAAACATCTGTTCTTTCTGTGGACTCCTTGACCAATTGTTTATTTGAATATCCTCATCCCCAGTTCTATTTTCTCTCTTCTGGGCATTTCCAGTATGTGCTAGGATGTGAGTTCTCTGGGTTTTCCCTATCTAATAACTTGTTTCATCTTTTTTCCCTTTGCTGTGTGGTCTGGTCATTTTGCTCAATTTTATTTCCAATGTGCTAATTCTTTTTTTAATAGCTCTGGATTATTTTTAAATTATTTGCTGTGTATTTTTTATTTTAAAGAACTCTTCTTGGTCTATAATTACTCCTATTCTCCAATAACTTGTTCTTGACTTATGGATGATATATGTTCTCAAATATCTCGAAGGACACATTCAAATTTTAAAATTCTCTACTTTTTTTTATATCATTTCTATGTCTAAGATCTGCTAATCTGTTTGTCCACCTTGGTCTTTCTCTTACAGACTATTAGTATTCTTCAAATGCCTAGTTATTCTTGGTTATACATTCATATTTATTAACATAATTTTATATTACTCAGCATAAATTGCTATCATACTTTTTTTAGTAGTGTAAGTCTGTGTACCTGAATAGGAAGAGCTCATTGAGAGTTCCATGAAAGTTGATGGATTCTGTTGAAAATCAAGCTTTCCTTTATAGTGTATAAACTTGGAGTAGGGAAGATAGCTCAATAACTTCAAAAATGTCAAAATAAAATATGTTACTTGGCAGTAGAATAATTCTCCAAAATATTGTTCTGTTAGGTACCAGTTCTTCCCAGAACATTGTGGAAATATGGTTTCCTTTTAGGTTCTTCTTTACTTCATTCAACTCACTATACACTTTATGATTAACTCCTCTCCATGTCTATTAGTCACTCATTATAGAAGGTAATCATTGGGTTTCCATCTGTGAACTACTATTGTAGAATTCTGCTCAAACATATGTGGGAGAACGAGGAGCCACCTTAGACCACATATATTTCTGTGACTCTACTCAAGTCTACTCTTTTTTGGCCTTCCAGCTCCAAATTTATAATTTCTCTGAGGCTCAGCCAGGAAGAGCTTCTTCCTAATGTGTAGCTTCTTACTCCTATACCATTTCCAAACTATAACTTTTTTTTCACACATCTACTTTATCTATCAGTATATCCCTTCCCACTTTCGGAGTTCTACAAGTTTGTCCCATCTCTGGTTTGCTGGAGGAATCCTCTCTTGTTTACAGAATTCCCAAGGACTCACTCTGTTTTATATCTTTACTGCCATTCAACGGCAGTGGACAAACAGATTAGCAGATCTCAGACATAGAAATGATATCTGGACTAAAGTTTCATGACAAAGATGCCTATAAACCACCAAAGAAAAGGATGATCCTGATTCCAAACCAATTATTTAAACATGACATAAATTTTATGGAAAATAATCTATAAAATTTCATGGCCGAGACTTCTCTCAGTCTTATTTCAATACATGTCCTTATTCTGACTTTTCTGCCTTTGCTGATTTTCTTGATTTTACCCTTTGATTTGTTCTTTATTCTTTCCATTCCACCTCTCCTGCAAAGTCCTGTAAGAAAATAATTCAAGATGATACAGAAAGGAACATCTTCATTTCATTATGCTTTTCCTCCCTTAATAATCATCATGACTAGAGAATGACAGATGCAATTGGCCCAGGAGTCTGATACTAAAGCTGAGTTTTTGAGAACAAAAGTTAAAACATCAAAGCCAGTAGGACAAATGAGGAAGGCATAAATACGTGCATTTTCTAATTTAAAATGAATAAATAAAAATATTTTTCATTTTAAATTGATGAATCAAATAAAATTAGAATAAGAGAAAGTAGAATGTAATAGGATTATCCAGTTTGATGCAAATGTTAATTCATTAAATATCATTGTCTTTGTACTTGCCTTAGTAACTACTGAAACGTACTTATATTGATGATGGCTGTCACTTAAGGTCTCGTTTTATTAGATGGTGAAAAACCTCCTTTAGGAGGCTTTATAATTAGCATAGACGATCATCATCTGTTTTGGATGATTTTGGAGACAGAATTTTTAGGCCCCTTCCAGCTCTGATCCTGTGTCTGGGTCTAAACAAAATGAATCATTTCCAAACAATGTTCTCAAATGCACACATCAGCACTTCCTGGTGCTGCCTTGTCTGAGAGGCTCAACTACAAGCACAGACTTGTAAACAACCCTTTACTTCCCCTTATCCTACCACTTATCCCAAAACACATTTCTTGTTGTTTTCACAGTGTGCCCTGTTTCCACCTTCTCACACCTGCTTCTCTGCTCTGTCCTCACCCCGTCCACACACTGTACTCAAATACATATACCTACTGATTCTTTCCAGCTCATCAACTAATCCCTCATTTCCCTCCAAGTCAGACTGCCCAGCTGCAAGAGCATCATTAAATTATAGTTTATATGCTCTCCTTCTTGCTGTAATATGAAGTAAATAATTGTTCCAAAAAGTGTTTTTCTCTGGAAAAGTTTTCTCCTTTCAGAGACCCAAGTTTTTATAAAAATTTAAGGTAATTAAAAGTTTTGGACTTGGTAGAGAGAGACACTTGCTCACATTTGCACACAATGACCCACCATTAAGTAAAATTATTAAGTACAACACAATCCATCTTTAGTTATAAATTATACGGTTACTCAATCTCAGATATATATATACATATATATGCACATGCACATATAATTGCAAATATTTCTCAATAAAATTAATATGTCTAATAAAATACTTTAGAGTTAATATAGGTTTCTGAATCCTATCTTTCCATTGATTTTTATTATAAAATTACCAGGAAAAATGGAAATAATAATAGCAATATTTAATGTTTTTTGAACTCTTACCATGTTCCAGGCACTATTATCAACACTTCAAATGGAATAATCTATTTAATCCTCATAACATCCCTATGGTCTGGGTGTTACTTCTTCCCATATTTTATGGATAATGAAATGAGATGCAGAGATTTTACATATTCTACCCAAGATCACTGCTACTAAATGACATAGTGAGGATTCAAATCTGTAGTCTAGTTTTAAAATTCATGGTCTTAACCAACACAATTTAATGCATCATGATATAATGAAATAGTGCTAAATACAAATAAGGCCTAAAAACTATCAAATGGAAAATTCAATAGAGTACCAATGATGTCATTGAACGTTTTAATAGTAACGTAGTTATATGCTGCACGATTTCATCAAAATAAGTTAAAATACATCTTTGCTTGCAAGAAAAAAATGTCTTCTTATGTTAAAATTATGCATATGCTATGAAGTGAGTCTTTGTATACCCCCAAAATTTATATGTTGAAATCCTAATCCCCAAGGTAATGGCATTAGGAGGTGGGGCTGCTGGGAGGTGACTGGTTCATGAGGGTGGACCCCTCATCAATGAGATAAGAGCCTGTATTAGTCAGGCTTCTCCAGAGGGACAGAACTAATGGAATATATATATATATGTATATATATATGATTATGTATATATACATAATTATATATGTGTGTGTATATACATGTCAATATATAGATGAGTTTGTTAAGTATTAACTCACACGATCACAAGGTCCCACAGTAGGCCATCTACAGGCCGAGGAGCAAGGAGAACCAATCCAAGTTCCAAAACTGAAGAACTTGGAGTCTGACGTTCGAGGGCAGGAAGCACCCAACATGGGAGAAAGATGTAGGCTGAAAGGCTAGGACAGGCTTCTTTTCACATTTTGCTGCCTGCTTATATTCTAGCTGCGCTAGCAGATGATTAGATTGTGCCCACCCAGATTAAGGGTGAGTTTGTCTGTGCCATCCCACTAACTCAAATATTAATCTCCTTTGGCAGCACCCTCACAGACACACCAAGGATCAATACTTTGTATCCTTCAAGTGGACACACAGTATTAACCATCACAAGTCCACCCCTTGTCAACTTGATCCTATATACGTCTCCTGAGATCATACATAATCTTCAAAAAAAGACAATGATAAGGTCATAATCACATCTAACATGATACAACTTTCCTTTGTACAACCAGAAATGCACCAATCCCCAACCCCAATACTATTACAAAAAGTTAACAATACTTAAATGCTGATGTGAAGTCAATAAATCTTATGTCACATGATAAAGAAGAGAGGAAATAAAATGAAGATATTTTCTTAGTACAAGTGTATACATGCACAAACATGTTTTTAACAAAAGAAGAAAGAAATACTCAGGACCCAATTACAGTCCTCATTTCTGTGGCTGGTCACGTGGTCGTAGCTGTTATTTATGACTACCTTATTCTACTCCCCATTCTGTATTCCCTTTGCCTTCAGCAAGCACCTCAGCAGGTAGTGGGGTTTTTTCCTGGTGGAGTGACCCAAAACTTCATTCCAGAAGTCATCTGTAGTCAGTCCAGAAGTCATTCCAGAAGGGAGGTCATTTGTAGTCCTCCCTGGATTGGGCTGTTGTAGTTTCCCATTGATCTTAATCACAGGACATGGTAATACTAAGAGACATCCTAATGGATCTGCTGTATTCCATGCATTCTCTTCCTTACCTTTGTTGTGGAGTAGTAGACTGATTTCATCTTAATAGTCTGGGTCAATCACCCCAGCCAACACTGTAACTCTCTTCTTAGCCTGTTGACTTAAAGGTAGGAGAAGGCCAAAGTATCCAGGTGGCAATCTCAACTTTCAGTTTGATAGAATCCTTGTTGTATCTCCTGGTGGCAGCATTCCTCCCTATGGAACTAAGACCTCTAGGTCAGCAGAATGTAATGTCATGGGAACAGGAAGCAAAAATTTTGCTGGTGGATCACTAGGGGTGATGGTGAGTGGTGCCACTTCCACTTCCACCCCTTGCTTCCTGGACCTATGAATCCTGGCTATGGGAGAAACAGTACCATATATTAGATGCTGATTCAGAACAAACACAGCCTTCTGGAGAACTTTGCTCCAGCCCTGCAAAGTACTGTCACCTAGTTGGTGGTGTAATTTTGATTTCAAAATGGCATTCCACCATTCTATCATTCCAGTTGCTTCAGGATGATGGGGAACATGGTAAGACCAGTGAATTCCATGAGTTTGAGCCCACTGCCCTCCTTCTTTAGCCACAGAGTGAATGTCTTGGTCGGAGGCAATGCTGTGTGGAATACCATGACGGTGGATAAGGAATTCCATGGTTCATGGACGGCAGTCTTGGCAGATGCATTGTGTGCAGGATAGGCAAACCCATATCCAGAGTAAGTGTGTATTCCAGTGAGGACAAACCTCTGCCCTTTCCATGATGGAAGAGGTCCAATATAATAAACCTGCCACCAGGTAGCTGGCTGATCACCCCGAGGAATGGTGCCATATTGAGGGCTCAGTCTTGGTCTTTGCTGCTGGCAAATTGGGCACTCAGCAGTGGCTGTAGCCTGGTCAGCCTTGGTGAGTGGAAGTCCATGTTGCTGAGCCCATGCATAACCTCCATCCCTGCTACCATGGACACTTTGTTCATGGGCCCATTGGGCAATGATGGTGGTGGCTGGGGAAAGAGGCTGAGTGGTGTCCACAGAAAGGGTCATCCTATCCACTTGATTATTAAAATCTTCCTCTTCTGAGGTCACCCTTTGGTGAGCACTCACATGGGATACAAATATCTTTACAGTTTTTAACCACTCAGAGAGGTCCATCCACATACCTCTTCCCCAAATTTCTTTGTCCATGCTTCTTCCATGTCCCTGACTATACACCCAAACCATTGGCTACAGCCCATTAATCAGTATATAATAACATATCTGGCCACTTCTCCTTCTATGCAAAGTGCACAACCAGGTTCACTCCTTGAAGTTCTGCCCACTGGGAAGATTTTCCTTCACCGCTGTCCTTCAGAGATGTCCTAGAAAGGGGCTGTAATGCTGCAGCTGTCCACTTTTGGGTTAAGCCTGCATATCATAGAGAACCCTCTGTGAACCATACTCTAGCCTTCTCTTCCGCTGTCAACTGATCATAGGGAACTTGCCATGAGGCCACCAGTGCAGGCAGTGGGAGAGAAGGCAGGGTGACAGGAGTGGAGACCATGGGCATTTGAGCCACCTCCTCATGTAACTTACTTGTTCCTTCAGGACCTGCTCGAGCCCAGTCACATACGCACCACTTCCATTTGATGATGGACTGCCTCTGTGCATGACCCACTTTATGGCTAGATGGGTAGGAAAGCATCCAGTTCGTGATAGGCAGTTCAGGTCACATGGTGACTTGATGACCCAATCAAACATTCAGTTTCCACCAAAGCCCAGTAACAGGCCAAGAGATGTCTCTCAAAAGGAAGCTAGTTATCTGCAGAAGATGGCAGGGCCTTGCTCCAAAATCCTGGCAGCCTCTGCTGTGATTTACTTATGGGGGCCTGCCAGGGGCTGCAAACAGCATCTCCGTCTGCCGCTGACACCTCAAGCACCATTGGATCTGCTAAGTTATAACGCCCAAGTGGCAGAGCAGATTGCACAGCAGCCTGGACCTGTTGCAGAGCCTTTTCCTCTTCTGGACACCACTCAAAGCTAGCAACCTTTCAGGTCACCTGATAAATTGGCCAGAGTAACACACTGAAATGAGGAATGTGTTGCCTCCAAAATCCAAATAGGCCTACAAAGTGTTGTGTCTCTTTCTTAGTTTTAGGAGGGGCCAAATGCAGCAACATACCCTTTACCTTACAGGATATATCTCAATGGGCCCCACACCATTGGACCTCCATAAATTTTACTGAGATAGAAGGTCCCTGAATTTTAGTCAAATTTATTTCCCATCCTCTGGTATGCAAAAGTGTCACCAATAAGTCCAGTATGTTTGCTACTTCTTGCTCACTGGATCCAATCAGCATAATGTCATCAATATAATGGACCAGTGTGATATCTTGCAGAAGCGAAAAGCAATCAAATTATCTCCAAATAAGATTATGACACAAAGCTGGAAAGTTGATATACCCCTGAGGTTGGACAGTAAAGGTATATTGCCGGCCTTGCCAGCTGAAGGCAAATTGCTTCTGGTGGGCCTTATGGACAGAAATGGAGAAAAATGCATTTGCCAAGTCAATGGCTGCCTACCAGGTACAAGGAAATGTGTTAATTTGCTCAAGCAATGAAACCACATCTGATACAGCATCACTTGGTTAAGCTTACGATAATCCACTGTCAGTCTCCAAGATACATCTGTCTTCCGCACAGGCCAAATGGGAGAGTTAAACTGAGATGTGGTGGGAATCACCACCTATGTGTCTTTCGAGTCCTTGATGGTGGCACTAATCCCCACAATCCCTTCAGGAATGCAATATTGTTTTGGATTTACTCATTTTTTTAGGTAGAGGCAGCTCTAATGGCTTCCATTTGGCCTTTCCCACCACAATAGCCCTCACCCTACCAGTCATGGAGCCAATGTGGGGATTCTGCCAGCTGCTAAGTATGTCTATGCCAATTATGCATTCTGGCACTGGGGAAATGACCACAGGATGAGTCCGGGGACCCAATGGGCCCACTGTAAGTGAGACCTGAGCTAAAACTCCATTAATTACCTGACCTCCATAACCCCCTACTTTAACTGGAGGACCACAATGACGTTTTGGGTCCCCTGGAATCTAAGTCAGCTCAGAGCCAGTATCCAGTAGTCTCTGAAATGTCTGATCATTTCCCTTTCCCCACTGCACAGTTACCCTGGTAAAAGGCAGGACGTCTCCATGGGGAAGGATGGGAGAAAGATTAACAGTATACATTGCTGGTAATGTAGTGGGGTCCTTTCTCAAGGGTACCCGGCCTCCCCTTCATTCAAGGGGTTCTTGGTCTGTAAGCTGGCTCAAGTCTGGAAATTGATTGAAGGGCCATGATTCTCTGTTTTTATAATTCAAATTAGTCTTTTGTCCATTCAACCTAGAAGTGTTCTGCTTTTATAAATTAAGTAGGAATGCAGCAGCCTTCCTATCAATTTCACTTCTAGGAACACCATGGTCAATTAGCCAATGCCAGAGCTCTACATAGTCAGACTGTTCTGATTGCCGCTTTGTCTCTGCTGTTCATTACTGTAATTACACCCACCTTGCCTTTGACTGTTGAGTGCTGCCACTTGGCCTCTGCCTCCTTGGAATCTAGTTATTCCCACCGTATTTAAATTTTGTAATTGAGTGACTGCAGTTCCCTCCATTAGATCTGACCTACAGAGAAGAGCAATCACAGGGCTCTTCAAAGATGCAGGTGCTGTCCTCACAAATCTATTTCGCAAGGCATTGGTCAAGAGTATATCTTCTGGACCCTTCCAGCTGTGATGAGTAGGTCTAAAGTGACTAATCCACTACAACATACCAATCTCCCTAAGCCTTTTGATCTCTTCCTCTACATTAAACCAAGGGATATCAGGCATTTCCAGCTTACTCACAGTGCGCCATCTTTTAATCCATATTTCAGCTAACCAAGAAAATAAACTATTAGAACCTTTTTTAATTCCTTGAGCTAAAACATTAAATGCAGAGTCCTTACTTAGTGGACCCAAATCAATAAATTCAACCTGATCCAACTGGATGTTCCTTCCACCATTATCCCATACCCATAATATCCATTCCAATGCCTGTTCTCCAGATTTCTCTTCATACAAATTAGAAAACTCAAGCAGTTCTTTCACAGTGTAGCCCACCACCTCATGGATCACATTCTCAACCTCACCTCTAGGGGCCTGCTGGGACTTTTAATCTAGTTATAGGTCTAGAAGCAAACAGGGATGTTGGGGGTGGCTTCTGAAGAGAATCAACAAAATCTTGCCTGGCAACTCCCTCAGGGGAGGCCATCACTGTTGCCTCAGGCAGCACAGGGTTTATCTCCTCAGACAAAGGTGGAAAGGCTGATGGCAACATCAGTTGGGGAGAGGATGTTGCCACTGCTGGGGATGGTGAAGCTGTCTTGTCTGGCAAAAAGGTTCATCAGAGTTTACAAACTCAATGTCCCCAGATTCATCAGGGTCCCCCCACACATCCCCATTCCAAGTTTCAGGGTTCCCTTCTTTTCCAATCAATACCCTCACTTTAACAGTCGACATCTGGCAAGGCTGTGCATGCATTTTTAGTTGCAGGTAAGCCACTCGCAAGATAAGAGCTCATATCTGTTTCTCCACAATTTCAGCTCTTTCTCTACTGGAGATAAGACTCTCACTCAGGGCAATCTTAACAGACTTAAGGCTCAGTATGTGCTTCTGAACCCTGAGTTCATCATTTTCTTTCATCACTTTGTCCACTGAACTTAGGAACAGCCATCTTTCTTCATTATGTTTCTTGGTTCTCCACATATGGCCAAAGGTATTATGTATACAGTTACTAAACTCCTTGCCTCTCACGACTGATCAATCAGGATTTTTAAATGCATTTATTTTGCATAAATCTCTAAATAGTTCATTCCAAGGACTATCAGTGTTCTCCATACTATTAGAAGCAGAATCCTTAGCATTTTGGGTCTGATCAGATTTTAGCAGCCAACTCCAGAAACCCCCAAAACCAATGAAAGAACTCCATTCTTAATATATATATAAAAGGGAGTTTATTAAGTATTAACTCACGTGATCCCAAGGTCCCACAATAGACTGTCTGCAGAAGGAGGAGCAAGGAGAGCCAGTCTGAGTTCCAAAACTGAAGAACTTGGAGCTCGATGTTCTATGGCAGGAAGCATACAGCAGGGGGGAAAGATGCAGGCTGGGAGGCTAGGCCAGTCTGTCTTTTCACATTTTTCTGCCTGCTTATATTCTAGCTGGGCTGGCAACTGATTAGATTGTGCCCACCCAGATTAAGGGTGGGTCTACATTTCACAGCCCACTAACTCAAATATTAATCTCCTTTGGCAACACCCTGACAGATGCACACAGGATTAATGTTTTGTATCCTTCAATCCAATCAAGTTGACACTCATTATTAACCATCACAGAGCCCTTATAAAAGATGTTTATGAGAGACCCCTCTCTTCTTCAATATGTTAGGACACAGCAAGAAGGCACCATCTGTGAACCAGAACGTGGTTTCTCACCAGATACCAAATCTGCCAGCAACTTGATATTGAACTTCCCAGCCTCTAGAACTGTGAGAAATAAATTTCTGTTGTTTATAAGCTACCAAGTTTATGGTCTTTTGTTATAACAGTCCCAATAGACTAAGATAGCATATGCTACATCCACATACTCCCCTAGAGCTACTGTGAAAGGACAGATAAGTATACAAAATAGGACATGAAAGAATTGTAGTTATGCCTTTGTATGTTACATGATTATGTGTTTCCTAGTGCCTAGCAGCATCCTTTGCACACAAGTGGCATCCAATAAATGTTTATTGATTTGGATAGACATTTATTGGTAGCCCTGCAAGGGAATTATAAGGCATAAAGCATCCAAATGCCTTCTTCAAACATAGTTAAATTTAATTCTATGCGGCAGTATAAATTATGAAATAATCTTTTTTTCAAAAGTCTTCAGCAATATATGGGCAGGTAAATGCTTTGGTCATAGGCTGTAAGAATGTTGAAGCACAGACATCAGAAATCTTCTAGCCCAAACCTCTCATTTACAAAAGAGGGAAATGTTCCAAGGGTTCATTGACTTGCCCACACAGCTGGTTCATTGCAAAAGTGTGACTAGTCTCTGGATGCCTAGGTTGACTTGAGAGGTGCAGGTATGTACACAAACGCACACAAATTCTATCTGCCATAAACAGTCTTTCTCATTAGTATACTACAGTTCTGAAATCCTAGCATTAAAAGATATTGCTTTTAATTATGTAAATAATTAAGTCATCTGGTACCCAAGATTTGGGGGAAAAAAAAAGGAAAAACAATGGCCTGACCCTTCACATTTTTCATGAGTTGGTGCTGTGCTGAGTGTTTTGGCTGTCAGGTAACTGCTAATTGAATGCTTTCTGCAGCTCCACTGGTAGCAAAAAGTTACTATGTACCTGAGGAATGCTCTTAGTGGACATCTGGAACTTGTTCTCCAGTAGTATTTTTATTTCTCATTTTAACCTTCTCTATTCTAAAGTGAGGTATCCACCGACCCAAACCTAAGAGAGTGCTAATGCTGACAATGTGTATAAAGGGAAGCATAATCTGTCTATCTCTCTTGGCTTTCTTGCCTACTTTGCACCTCTTAGATGTAAAAACAAAATAAGACAGTTGAATATCGAGCATGTCACATAAACAGAAATCACCTGTTAACTCCTTAAAACTATATTTATTTATTCATACATTTACTAGCATCGATTAGTTAAAAATGTAGTTGATATAGTGATTATTGTTGACTCCTCAACATCCAGTTTATCACCCCAACAAATAGCATCAGTACAATTTTGTGACCAAGGCTGGATTCTGATTTATTATTATTGAAGATACTTAAAATAATCCAATTCCCTTTGGCAGTGATTGGGATGAGTCCTTTGGCCAACTTGGTCTTATGAGACATGAGAAAATATTTAGAGGGCTTCTAAGAAGTTTCCTCACTCTCACAAACAAACTACAGAAGAATGACAGCCCTCTGTCCCTTTCCTACTGGATGTGAATAAAATGTATAGCCCTTATTGCTACTACAACGATTATTTAATGACATATCAGGGTTACCTGGGCCAGATAATTCTTTACTGTAGGGATATTATAGGATGTTTAACAACATCTCTGGCCTATAAAACTAGATGCTAGTAGCACCCTTCCAGTCATGGCAATAAAAATCATTTCCAATATTGTCAAATGTGTCCCCTCGGGGGCAAAATCTTCCCCAGTTGAGAAACATCGACTTAGATAAAGCTAGAAGAGTAGACAGCAGCAGGGAGAGATTAAAGGAAACTAAATGCATGGCTATGTCATTAAGACTCTAGGTCAACTCATTCTGAAAACTTCTTTACATCTGGCCTATCACATGAGCCAATAAATTCCATGCCTTTACTCTCTTAACTAGTGTGAGTTGATTTGTCGCCTGCAGTGAACGGCAGCATAGTGGTTACTGAGCAAAACCTGGAGTGAATTGGATAGTGGTAAGAAGAGATAAAAAGATACAATCTCAAGGAAAAAGCAGATGGCTTATGGCAGAAGATGAGAAATATCGAGTTGGGGGCACACGATGGTGATTAACTTGGAGAAGTAAGTGCCAAAACAGGTTGTTAGAAATAAAAAGGGAAAGGGCAAAAGTACAAGAAAGACTTACTCTTATAGAGAGAATTTTAAACTAATGCTAGCCGCATTTTACTATTTTTCCCCAATTATTTGTTTCAACAGCAAACGTAATACATTTGCATAGTACATTCACCTCCCTCTTCCCTAAATGACTACTTCACATGACCAAGCTCTTCAAACCTCAAACACTTTCTCAACATCTTCACATGGAGAGGGATGTGGAGGTTCCTCTCCACCCCCCACAGTCAAAGTTAAGTTGTCATCAACTTAAAATAACCTGCTATAACTATAATATGCTCTGTAAGCCTCATGGTTACCACAAAGCAAAAGCCTATATTAGATGCACAAAAAATAAAAACTAGGAATGAAAACATAGCACTAGAGAAAAACGTTTAGATGCAAAGGAAGACAGCAAGAGAGAAAGAAAGGAAGTATCAAAAAAAAAACTAAAAAAATTAACAAAATGAATCTTTACCTATCAATAATTATATTGAATGTATATGGATTAAATTCTTCAATCAGAAGACATAGAGTGGCTGAATAGATTAAAAAAAAAACAGGACCTAGCTATATACTACCTACAACAAACTAACTTCACCTGTAAGGACACACATAAACTGACAGTGAAGGGATGGAAAAAGATCTTTCATGCAAATGGAAACCAAAAGAGGGCAGGAGTAGCTGTAATTATATCAGATAAAGTAGACTTTAAGTCAAAAATTATAAAAATAGAGAAGGAAGGTCATTATATAATGATAAAGAGGTCAATTCTGCAAGAGGATATAACAGTTGTACATATATATACATATATATAGGCATCTGACAGAGCAAGTAAATATATCAAGCAAATATTAATAAATTTGAAAGAAAAAATAGACTGCAACATGATGATTGTGGGGACTTCAAGACCCTGCTTTCGGGAGTAGATCCTCCAGACAAAAAAATAATTCAGGTAATGTCAGACTTAAAATAGAGTTTAGATTAAATGGACCAAACAGACATATACAGAACATTCTACCCAACAGCTGCAGAATATACATTCTTCTTAAGTGGATATAGAACATTCTCCAGGACAGATTATATATTATGCCACAAAACCAGTCCTAACAAATTTAAGAAGATTGAAATCATGTCAAATATCTTTAATGACCACAATGAAAAAAAGAGCTAGAAATCAATAAGAGAAAGAATTTTGGAAAATTCACACCTACATGGAAATTAAATGTGGTCCTGAAGAACTAAGAGGTCAATGAATAAATTAAAAGGTAAATTAAAAATTGTCTTGAGACAAACTAAAATGAAAACACAACACACTAAAACCCATGAGAAATAGCAAAGGCAGTTCTAAGAGGAAAGTTGATAGAAATAAAAAGTCTACATCAAAATAGAATGATCTCAAATAAACAATGTAATGTTGCACCTCAAGGAACTAGAAAAACAAGAACAAACTAAGCTCAAAGTTAGTGGAAGGAAGGAAATGATAAATACTAGAGTAGAAATAAATGAAATAGAGACCAGAAAAAACATAGATAAGATCAATTAAACCGAGATGGTATTTTTAAAAGATAAAATTGACAAACCTTTAGCTAAACTAAATAAGAAAAAAAAGAGAAAACGCAAATATATAAAAACAGAAATAAAAATAAAGACATTAGAACGGATACCACAGAAATCCAAAGAATCATAAAAGACTATCATGAACAATTATATGCCTACAAATTGCATAACTTAGAAGAAATGGATAAATTCCTTGACACATACCATTTATCAATATTGAATTATGAAGAAATAGAAGATCTGAAAAAATGAATAATGAGTAAGGATATTGAATCAGTAATAAAAAGTTTCCCACCAAAGAAAGCCAGGACTTGATGACTTCACTAACGAATTCTACCACTGAATTCACACATGCATGTATATACACATAGAGATATAATGCCATGATTTTCATATAAATCATGTGTATTCTTCACATTCATATATAAACCTATATTCCTCACAAACATAAATTATGTACATATTAGTCTTATTATTATGTCATGTATGTCATGAACATCTTTTTCAACTAAGTACACACTTTCTATCATTTTTGCTAGCTGTGTATTACATCAGTAAAATTTACTATAATGAGTTAATCATTCCATTATTTAAATTTTTATTGTATTTAGAGTAACATTCTACAAAGAATATCTTTCTTAATTGTATGTATTGGTATTTTTGATTTTGCTCCTGTAGATGAGATCTTTTAAATTTTGTTTAAAAATAATGATTTTTAGCATAAAGAAAAACTATTGAGCTTTGTCTTGTACCTAGTCACTTAATAGCATTTATTTTATTAGATTTAACAAATTTTAATAAAATTTTCTAGGAGTACATTAATATCATCTGAGAATAATTATGATATTGACCCTCCTTTTGTGATATTTAGTGTGATTAATTGTGCTTAACATATTGTATTTGGTAGAAATTCCAAAAATTATTTGAACAATAGTGGTAACAGAAATTATCCTAACTTCTTTCCAAACTAACACTTGTGGAATACAGTCATTTATGTATATGTGAACAATTAACTGTTACTAATTTTTAATTACATTTAAGAAGTTCCCTTTTATTATTTCTTGGCTTTTATCAAGAATAAATGCTGGGCCGGGCGCGGTGGCTCACGCTTGTAATCCCAGCACTTTGGGAGGCCGAGGCGGGTGGATCACGAGGTCAGGAGATCGAGACCATCCTGGCTAACACGGTGAAACCCCGTCTCTACTAAAAATACAAAAAAAAATTAGCCGGGCGTGATGGCGGGCGCCTGTAGTCCCAGCTACTCGGGAGGCTGAGGCAGGAGAATGGCGTGAACCCGGGAGGCGGAGCTTGCAGTGAGCCAAGATTGCGCCACTGCACTCCCGCCTGGGCCACAGAGCGAGACTCCGTCTCACAAAAAAAAAAAAAAAAAGAATAAATGCTGTTGATGTTTATCAAATGCTTTTTGGAGGGAGCATTTCAGGATGTAATTGCTTACTTTTTCTTCTTTAATTTGTTAATGAAATTAATTAACACAGTGAATTTCCTAATAATGAATCACCCTTTCATTCCTGAAATTAATCTGCATGGACACTGGGGATTATATGCTGATTTATTCACTTTGTTATACACCTGGATTTTCTTTAAGGCCTGGAATAGGTATTGTTCTGTATCTATTTGGTCAATGTGGCATAAAGGGATAGTCATGAAATTTTGACTTTCAGTGAATTGGAATCAAATTCTAACTTCATGTTTTAGTAGCTGTGTGACATGGGCAAATTAAAATCTCTGAGTCTAAATGTTTTCATCTTTATGCAGAACTGCTATAAGTTTCTGAATATGAATTTGTTAAAGAATAAAATGTGAGAAGATATATAAAACCCTGGCATGGCCCCAACTCTCAGTAAATGTTAATTTACCTGTTCTGTGAACTAATAAGTAAGGATGCCAGGACAACACATAGCTATGCTTTCAAGTGGATTAGGATGAATTTCCTCCCGAGTTACTGTGGAAATGTCCAATTGTGTATGCATAAATAGCAAAGGTGATATCAATATCATACTAAAGGTCTTTTTTTTTCTGTTACTGCTTTAATAATAGCAGCTGCCAGTGAGTGAATCTCCTGGCTGAAGTACCTTTACAGCAATCTGTCTTTTTCATAACAGAACTGTTTGATCCAAACATGTGTTCTTGTCAAACCTTTCCCAGGACTCCTTATTTATAACTACAGTAAATGCAGCCAGTGGCCAGTGTAGTTCTCCTTACATATAATCACTAAAACATATTTGCAATTGAATAGTTACTGCTGTTTCCTTCTCTGAATTTCTTTCTAGGACACATGGAAAGGCAGAAGGCCACTGTTTGCATAGCCAAACATCTCTGTGTCTGGAAATTTCCTTGGGCAGTCTATGCAGTAGGTTTCTAAGTATGATCAGCATGCATCTTACACTGGAAATTGTGAAAGCAGCTACCAGTACTATGTCTGGCACAGACAAGATTTTAAATAAATATATGAATAAATAAAAGGATAAGAATTTAATTAAAAGATAAGTTGTTTGGGAAACATCTTAATAACTTGGAGTACTGAAACAAATGGTTTTAATAGAAAATGTAACTTATCCATCCATTCACACATTCATTCAAATAAATATTGACTGAGGGCTTGCTATTTTTCAGACACTAAGTCACTGCAAACATTCTGTTCACTATGACATCCTGGCCTACATGGAGATTACAGTGCGGTGAATAGATGGTTATTGAACACACACATAATTCCAAAATTACTGAAGATTTTAGAGAAATCTAATTATGAAGCTTGTAATAGGGAATAAAAATATAGAAAGTTCATGTTTTATCTATAGAAATTGAGATTTGGTGCATTGAATCCTCCTTAATCTACATTTGTACTGGTAATGTATAAGAATAGCAATTGATCATATTATGATCACCTTCTGAATACTGGATGATCTAAAATCTGATTGAAGATCTAGTGTTTAAATGAGCTTTACTATAAACTTATCATCTACAAAATCAAGAGATCACATGCACAGAGAACAACATTGAGTCAGCCATTTAGAGGTTGGCTATTTTCTTTCAAAAGCTAAACATCCTTTTATTGCCCATTAGCAACACAGCACTGAGAAATAATACTATTCAAAAATAGACAGCTAAATCTTTAAATGCTAACATAGTATAATCTGTAAAATGCTGACTGGATGAAAGTAACACAGAAAGAGAGTAGAATATGCTCAACAAATGGAAACATAATCAAAACCATAAAATATGTTATAATTCAATGTAGAAAAAACACATAAGGAAAAATTACAGATGAATTTTACATAAGATTGAAGGCCCTACACGGATATTTAAGAAACAACTACTCTTTGACTAGTCTGGGCCTACAAGCTGAACATGGGTAACTTTCACTTTTGGTGAGAAAAAGCCAATCAACTAGCATGCAATGCACTCATCCCTGGCAATAATTATCAAGCTCCTTTACTGTCTTCTCATAATCTTCTGGCAAGAGTCTATAGAACCTTGAAGATCATCAGCTTCTACTCACAGAAATTCCACTATGACTACATGAGGAACTCTTGGTTAGATACCCAAAAGCAACACATATGCATTTTGTGAACTTTCCCTTACTCTGCCCTATTAGGTAGACCCCTCCCATCACTTCCTACCCTTATGAAATTATCCTCTCAAGGAACTCAGACTTCATGAAAAACAAGATTCTGAAAGGCACAGTCAACCATCCTTTGAAGAAATTGCCAAGACCTGGCTCTCTTCTCAGAAAAGGAAACAGAAAAGTAGAGTGAACACAAAATACATATCAATATCTCAATATTCTCAGCAGAATCTTCCATTCACTTGGATCCCCTTCATCGGAATTTTAAATCCTTAAGTATTTCCCATCAGCCTAAAAACAAAAATAAAACCAAAAATAAATTCTTTACCACCAATGACAACTACACTGTCAAATTTCATGTCGGACTATTTTTTTTCAGCCCTCTGAGTTATTGACCTGATTTTGAATAGGAATATACTCCAATAAAAAACACACTGCCGATCTATCCTCTCAGCTGGTTTTCAATATTTTTGATTAGCTCTTCCTTCTTCAAACCTTCCCCAGTTTTTCCTCTATAACAAACACCTCTTGCTTATACCAACCTTTTGATCAGCTCTCAGCCTCCTCAACCCAACTGTTAGATGTTAGAGTTTTTTATGGCTAGACTGTAAGCCTTCTTCTCATTCTGTTCTCTCATCCAAGTCTACAGTTTCAATTCCAACTAGACACCAACATCTTGCAAATTTACATTTTAACCCCAGATAATTTTACTGGGTTTCTGTGTTAGTTCGTTCTCATACTGCTTGAATAAATACCTGAGACTGAGTAATTTATAAACAAAAAAGATTTAATTGACTCACAGTTCTGCATTGCTGGGGATGCCTCAGGAAACTTAAATCATGGCAAAGGGGAAGCAAGGCACTTTTTCACAGGGTGGCAGGACAGAGTGAGTGCAAGCCAGTGAAATGTCACATGCTTATATAACCATCAGATCTCATGATACTCATTCACTATCACAAGAACAGCATGGGGAAAACCGCCACCATGATCCAGTTACCTCCACCTGGTCCTGCCCTTGACACATGAGGATTATGGGTAATGGGGATTACCATTCAAGATGAGATTTTGTGTGGGGGCACAGCTAAGCCGTATCAGTTCCAAACATGTATGTAGAATTATTTACTGAACAGTTTCACTTAGATATCTCAATGCGCCTCAAACTCAACAGGGCCAAAAACAAATTCCTGATTTCTCCCTGCCAAAACAAATTAACACAATGAATGAATGAACAAAGCAAATCAATTTCTACAAAATTAACTACCTGGTTGTCTTCTGGTGTTTCTTATTTCTTATCTCAACATCCACATACGACTGGATAAATTAGAAACCTAATGCTTAGCCTTACTCCCATATTCAACCAATTTTTTAGACTTCAATTCCTAAACCTCTCTTAAATGCACTCACTCTTTTTTAGCCTGTCTCTCGTAACCCTAGTATAGGCATTCATTTTCCCCAGGCTTGATTTCTGAATTGCCTGACTGGTTTCTTCGTATCCACTCACACTGTCTTCCAATCCTATCCTCATACCACCATTAAAGTAATGTTTTGAAAGCTAAAATTTCATCATGCTTTTCTCCCTTACTTAGAAACCCTTCAATAGCATGTTGGCCTATTTAGAAGAAAGTCTTGTACCGTCCTATAGTATGCAACGCCTTATGCTATTTCATTGCTGCCTACATTTCTTGCTTTGTCTTACACAGTCCACCCTTGCTGTCTGCTCCAGCTTCACTGACATTTTCTCAGTTCCTCAGAATAAATCATCCTCTCTCCCACCACAAGTCTTTTGCTAAAACTGTGCCCTATACTCTAGTGCCTTCTCAACTTTGAAGAAAGTTCTCATTCATGCCAACTTTCATTTCCTGAGAGAACTCTCATAAGCCATAAATCAGGTCAAGAACTTGTGTTACATACTCTGGTAGCACAACACACCAGTTCTTTATAACAGCATTGTTATATATCAAATAGTATTTGTAATAAATTGATTATTGTTCCTCTTTCCCAGTTCCTCTCCATAATGGCAAAAATCTTGAGTGCTTTTGTCACAGTTATATACCTAGGGTCTGGCACAGAACTTGTCACATAATTAATGTTTAATAAATTTTATGGTATGAAAACCCAAAGGAACTAATTCTATAGAGATAGATATTAGTTAATTTGATAAAGTGGGACTGGGTGCAGTAGCTCATGCATGTAATCCCAGCACTTTGGGAGACTGAGGCAGGTTGATCGTTTGAGCCCAGGAGTTCGAGACCAGTCTGGACAACATGGTGAAACCCTGTCTCTACAAAAAAATTAAAAAAAAATTATCCAGGCATGGTGGAATGCATCTGTAATCATCGCTACTCAGGAGGCTGAGGTGGGAGGATCACCAGAGCCCAGGGAGATGCAGTGAGCCATGATTATTCCACTGGACTACAGCCTGGCTGGCAGAGTGAGATGCTGTCTGAAAGAAAAAAAACTGATATAGAGGAACAAATAACTGCCTGTTTTTCAATCATTTATCTTTGATCAAGAAGTACATAAATACTTTTTGATCAGTGTATATTGACATTAATAAAAATGCCTATTTTCTTACCTGTGTATACCTTAATAATATTTTTGAATGACTGATCAGTGGAAGAGCAGGAAAGAGTAAGGTGGAACTTTGCATTTATTTCACTTCTCCATTTTCATAATGCAAAATGTTGGCTCTTATTATTTATATATAACTTGAAACATATTGCTGGTTTATATCTATAAATATAGATATAAATATTATATATGTCATAATTATAACAATAAAGTATTTAAGGGAGCTGGACCCTTCCTATCTTCAATAGTTAAATTAGTCTTTTTTAAATTTAGGAAGAGATATTTTTTACAACTTCTTGACACCAGTAGTCACAAAGTGATAATGAGAATTTATAAAAATTTATCAAAAAATGAAAATGTCAGGCAATGCTTGACTGTATTGAGAGACCTATGGATTTTAATTGCAGTTGGTAAAACTTGAATATAACTAGCTGATTTTCCACTCGCCATGGTGGAGGCAAAAAAAAGCAAACAAACAAAAGGAGGCATCCTTTTAAGTAATTGATACAATTTATGGTGCTTATTACCAACTTCGAGCCATTTACAAGCTCTGAAAAAAATTAGAGCCACTGATCAAGAATATATATCCCAAGGCTATATAGCTAATATACTAGCATAATCAATTCTTTTAAAATTGCTGTTTAATTTCAATGCATATATGCTATTCACTAAAATACAAATGTAATTTTTAACTATCACACAAGATATCAAAATTGATTTTACATTTTTATTTTAAAGTTTTCATTAGGTGTTCATTGACTGTAAGACTGAGTGTCTATTAGTCATAAAATTCTCAGCTGAATGTATCCTAAAATATAATAAATTATTATGTGCCACTTTACTGCTAATATTTTCAAATCCAAGTTTGTATAACACACTCTCCAACTTCTTTTTAAAAGCTACAAAAACTATGTCACAGGCAGAAACACTAAAACCAGATTCTAAGTATTTTCAAAGGAGACAAATGGCAAATGCACATTTAGCTCACAAGCAGAAGACCTCTCTTAATTTATTCAACAATTAAATTTGTTAGATACTACACTGGTAGCTAAGAATGTTCCCGACCTCACAGGGCTTAATCTAGTTCTCTCCAAAAATTTTAATCACAACTTTGGTAAATCCTGTGACATATAGATTTATTTTTTACCCTCAACCATTGTTTGTATTATGATTCTCATTATATTAAAATAGCATTTGAAGTTGACATTTAATTGTTCATATTATACATACCAAATAGACAAAATAAATATTTTGATTTGTCAATATTTGATTTTGTCACTTTTTAAAAATATTTTTTAAAATTAACCTCATATGTACATCAAATGAAAAACAAAATAGATATTATCTTTAGAAGGGAAAATGGTTTTTCAATTCACTTTATGACCGAAGACTTCATATTTTAAATTATTCTAGGTCATTTTAAAAACAAATGTTCTCATCTGTTCCCCTTTACTATTTATACACCTTCTAGATCCCACCCCACAGGTTGGCAGGAATTTGCATGGCTGTGTTGTTGGAGGGAAGTATTCATGCTGCTAGAGTGGAGCATGAATGAAAGGGTGTGTCCAGGGATCTGTAAAAATGTTTTTCTTGAACAGTATTGACTATTCTTTAATGCCAGTTGAGTCATGCAAGATCATGCACTTCCAGCACAATGAAGGGAATAGTCTCTGTTCTCCATCTATGTTAATTTGAGTGGATTTTGAAAACCAGCCACCTGTTTTTCTCTACCTGTTCATCACAAAATTATATTTTGCAATCAGATTAACCATAATACCGAGATGTAGATAGAAATGATTTGTATACAACTATTACTACTGCTTATGTCAGTGGGCAAAATGGGTTATGCAAAATGGGCAAAATGCAAAAATGCATTTTAACACCCCTCCCTTTGTCTTATAATTGTCAATGAATGCCTCCTGATCTGATCCTACCATCACAAGGAAGTTCCTTAAGGACAGGAAATACATGTTACTTGTATATTGTAATATTCCTAATATTTAGCAAATATTTCTACATTTAATAAGCACTAAAATTTGCAACAGTAGAAACAAAATGTGCCAATTCTCCATTTAATGTTCTGATAAATTATTCAGCAACTCACAGTGTACAGAAGAAAGACACTGGAATTATATCACTGATAGGTTAGATTACTGTTACCAACTCTGCAACTTGTTGACCTTGAATGAACATGTTTAATAAGTTCCTTTTATCCAGAAGTAGGATTACTTGATCATATGGTAGTATTATTTTTAGTTTTTTGAGAAACCTCCATACCATTTTCCATAATGGCTGTACAAATTCATATTCCCACCAAAAATGTACAAGAGTTCTCTTTTCTCCACATCTTAGATAATACTTGTTATTGTTCTTGTTTTTGATAAAAGATATTCCAAGAGGTGTAAGGTAATATCTCATTGCAGTTTTAATTTGTATTTCCCTAATATTTAGCAATGCTAAGTATTTTATCATTGTATTAGTCTGTTCTCACACTGCTAATAAAGACATACCTGAGACTTGGTAATTTATAAAGAAAAGAGGTTTAGTGGACTCACAGTTCCACATGGCTGAGGAGGCCTCAAAATCATGGTGCAAGGTGAAGGAAGAGCAAAGACGTGTCTTACATAGTGGCAGGCAAGAGAGCACGTGCAGGGGAACTGCCCTTTATTCAACCATCATATCTCATGCAACTTATTCACTATCACTAGAACACCACGGGAGAAACCCATCTCCATGATTCAATTACCTCCCACTGGGTTCCTCCCACGACGTGGAAATTATGGGAGCTACAGTTCAAGATGAAATTTGGGTGGGGACACAGCAAAACCATATCAATCATTTATATATGGGTTATTTGTAGGTCTTCCTTTTGAAAAATGTCTGTTCAGATCCTTTGCCCATTGTTTAATCAGGTCATTTGTTTTCTTTCTATTGAGTTACTTGAGTTCCTTATATATTTTGGATATTAACCCTTTATCAGATGTATAGTTCGCAGTTATTTTCTCCCATTCTGTGGATCATCTCTTCACTTTGTTAAATTGCTTCCATTGCTGTGTGAAAACTTTTTAGTTTAATGCTATGCCATTGGTCTATTTTTGCTATATTTTCATTTATTTGTGTTTTCTTTAATTTATTTTATCACCATTATATAGTTTTCAGTATACAAGTGAGTTACCTTCTTGGTTAACTTAACATCTAAGTATTTAATTATTTTGTTCCAATTGCAAATGGGATTGTTTTCTTAATTTCCTTTTCAGATAGTTTGTTATCAGTATATAATAATACTCCCTGTTTTTGTATGTTGATTTTATATCCTGAAACTTTAGTGAATCATTTTATCAGTTCTAAACAGTTTTTCAGTAGAGTCTTTAGGGTTTTCCATTTAAAACATTGCATTATTATCAAATAGGAACAATTTAACTTCTTACTTTTCTATTAAAATGTTATTTATTTCTTTCTCTTGGCTAATTTCCCTGGCTAGGGCTTCCAGTACTATATTGAAAATGAGGGCTGGGTGAGGTGGCTCATGCCTATAATCCCAGCACTTTGGAGGCCATGGTGGGTGGATTACTTGAGCTCAGGAGTTGGAGACCAGCCTGGGCAACATGGCAAAACCCTATTTCTACCAAAAATACAAAAAATAGCCAGGCATTGTGATGGGCACTTGCAGTCCCAGCTGCTCAGGAGGCTGAAGTGGGAGGATTGCTGGAGCCCAGGAGGTGGAGGTTGCAGGGAGCTGAGATTGCACCACTCCACTCCACCCTTGGCAACAGAGTGAGACTCTGTCAAAAGAGAGAGAGAGAGAAAGAGAGAAAGAGGGAGAGAGAGAGAGAGAGAGAAAGAAAGAAAGAAAGAAAAGAAAGAAAGAAAGAAAGAAAAAGAGGAAAGAAAGAAAAAAGAAAGAAAGGAAGAAAGAGAAGGAAAGAGAAAAGAAAGAAAAGAAGTGGTGAGAGTATCTTTGTCTTCTGATCTTAGAGAAAAAGCTTTCAGCTTTTCACCATTGAGAATGATGTTAGCTACAGATTTGTCATGTATGGCCTATAATGTCGAGGAACATTTCTTCTATACCTAATCTGTGAGAGTTTTTATCATGAAAGAATGATGACATGCTCTTTCTACATCTATTGAGATGATCATATGATTTTCATGCGTCATTTTGTTCATGTGGTGTATAACATTTATTTATTTGCATATGTTAAACCATCCTTGCATCTCAGGGTTAAATCCATTGATTGTTGATGTTGTTTGAATCTGTGTCCCTACCTGAATCTCATGTCGAGTTGGAGAAGCAGCCTGGTGGGAGGTGATTGGATCATGGACGCAGACTTCCCCTTGCTGTTCTCCTGATAGTGGTTAGTTTTCGCGAGACCTGGTGGTTTCAAAGTGTGTGGCACCTACTCTTCACTCTCTGTCTCTCCTGCTCTGCCATGGTAAGATGTGCTTGCTTCCCCTTTTCCTTCTGCCATAAAGTTTCCTGAGGCCTCCCAGCCATGACTCTGTACAGCCTGCAGAACTGTGAGTCAATTTTCTTCAGAAATTACCCAGTCTCAGGTACTTTTTTATAGCAGTGTAAGAATGGCCTGACACAGTCATGGTAAATTATTCCTTTAATGTGTTATTAAATTCGTTTTGTTCAGAATTTTTGCATCTATGTTCATCAGGGATATTTGTCTGTAGTGATTTTTTACTTGTAGTGTCCTTGTCTGGCTTTGGTATTAGGCTAATTCTGGTCTGACAACATTAATTTGAAAGTGTTCGATCATTAAAAAGTCAGGAAACAACAGGTGCTGGAGAGGATGTGGAGAAATAGGAACACTTTTACACTGTTGGTGGGACTGTAAACTAGTTCAACCATTGTGGAAGTCAGTGTGACGATTCCTCAGGGATCTAGAACTAGAAATACCATTTGACCCAGCAATCCCATTACTGGGTATATACCCAAAGGATTATAAATCATGCTGCTATAAAGACACATGAACACGTATGTTTATTGCAGCACTATTAACAATAGCAAAGACTTGGAACCAACCCAAATGTCCAATAATGATAGACTGGATTAAGAAAATGTGGCACATATACACCATGGAATACTATGCAGCCATAAAAAATGATGAGTTCATGTCCTTTGTAGGGACATGGATGAAGCTGGAAACCATCACTCTCAGCAAACTATCGCAAGGACAAAAAACCAAACACCGCATATTCTCACTCATAGGTGGGAACTGAACAATGAGAACACATGGACACAGGAAGGGGAACATCACACACTGGGGCCTGTTATGGGGTGGGGGGAGGGGGGATGGATAGCATTAGGAGATGTACCTAACGTTAAGTGACAAGTTAATGGGTGCAGCACACCAACATGGCACATGTATACATACGTAACAAACCTGCACATTGTGCACATGTACCCTAAAACTTAAAGTATAATAAAGAAAAAAAAAAGTTTTCGTTCCATTTTGATTTTTTGGAAGAGTTGGAGAAGAATTGGTATTTGTTTTTTAAAAAATGTTTGTTAGAATTCATCAATAAAACTGCTTGATCCTGGGCTTTTTCTTTTTTATGGGAAGCTTTTTACTACTGATTCAATCTCACTACTAATTGTTAGTCTTTTCAGATTTTCCATTTTTATTATTTAATCTTTCTAGGTGTTATGTATCTGGAATTTATCCTTTTTTCTACAGTACCCAATTTGTCAACATATAATTGTTTATAGTAGTACCTTATTATCCTTTGTATTTCTTTAATATCAGTGGTAATCTCTCCTCTTTCATTTCTGAGGTTATTTTTTCGAGTCTTCTCTCTTCTTTTTTTCCTAGCTAACCTGGATAAGGGTTTGTCTATTTTGTTAATCTTTTCAAAAAAAACTATTCTTAATTTTGTTGATCTTTTCTATTGTTTTTCTAGTGTCTATTTCATTTATTTCTGCTCTATTTGTCATTTCTTTCCTTTAACTTTGGCCTAATTTGTTTTTCTCTTCATAGTCTCTTGAGGTTTAACATTAGATTGTTTGTCTGAGATCCTTCTTTTTTGATATGGGCATTTATTGCTCTATATTTACCCAATAGGATGGCTTTTGATGCATCCCACAAGTTTTAGTACATTGGTTTTCATTTTCATTTTACTGAAGGCATTTTGTGACTTCCTGTTTTATTTATTCTGTGACTCATTGGTTTTTCAGGGAGGCATTGTTTAATTTCCACATATTTTTGTATTCTCTAAGATTACTCCTGTTATTGATATTTTATGCCATTGTGATCCCAAAAGATACTTGATATAATTTCAATTAACTTGAATTTGTAAAATTTATTTTGTGGCCTAATATATTTTCTATTCTGGAGAATGTTTTGTGTGCAAACATGTATTAAAGGAAGCACCAATACAGCTTTCAGCAGAAAGTATAATTTAAATCCAATGTTTATTTATTGATTTTCTGTCTATATTATCTTTTCATTGTTGAAAGTACTGAGCTCCTCTACTACAATAATATTGCAGTCTAGCTCTTCCTTCAGCTCATTTAATAATTGCTTGACATATTCAGGTGCTCTGATGTGTAGTGTGTATTTATTCACAATTGTTATGTCCTCTTGGTGAATTCATCCCTTCATCATTATGTAATCACCTTGTCTGTTTTATAATGTTTTACTTCAATACTATTTTATCTAAGTATAAATTACCCTACCTTCTTCAGATTTTTATTTATATGGAATTATTTCCCTTCCTTCACCTTCAGTCTGTGCGTCCATGTTAGTAAAGTGAGTCTCTTGTATAAAGTATATGGTTGGATCTTTTTTTTTAATGCATTCAGCAACTCTGTGTCTCTTTATTGGAGATTTTAATCCATGCACACTTAACATAATTATTGATAGGTAAATACTTGCTACTGCCACTTGGTAATTTGTTTTCTTATTGTTCTGATTGGTCTTTTGGTATTTCTTTTTTTTCCTCTCTATCTTCCTTTGTGACTGTATGGTTTTTGGTAGTGGTATGCTTTGAATCCTTACTTTTTATATATTGTGCAACCGCTGTAGGTTTTTGCTTTGTGGTTATCATAGGCTTATTACATAAAGCATCTTATCCTTATAGCAGGTTACTTCAAGCTGCTAACAACTTTAATTTCATTCAGAAACTCTACACTTTCACTTCTTCCTCTCCCAAACACTTTTTCTGATTTTAATATCAAATTTTTACATTTTCCTTTCTTTTATAATTTGTTTCTCAAAAGCAATTTATTGTGACCTTAGTTGTTTAAAATGATTTTTTTTTCTTTTAATCTTCATGGTGTGGATACAATTGTTTACATACCACTCTTGCAGGATTAGAGAATTCTGAGCATGACTACGTATTATTTATACCATTGAATTTTCCACTTTTGTATGTTTTTGTTATTAACTGGTAGCCTTAAAGAACTTCCTTTCACAATTCTTTTAAAGCAGGCATAGTGATGATGACCTGCCTTAGCTTTTGTTTGTCAGGGTAAGATTTTATTTCTCCCTCAGTTTGTAAGTACAACTTTACTGGGTAAATTATTATTGGTTGAAAATTTTGATTGTTTGTTTGTTTGCTTTCTTAAGCACTTGAATACATCATTCCACTCTCTTCTGGCCTGCAGGATTCCTGCTGAGAAATCTGCTGAAAGCTGTATTGGTGCTTCCTTCAATACGTTTCTTACCTCTTGCTGTTTTCTTTGTCTTTGATTTTTGGTAACTTGATTGAGATATGTCTTGGTGAACTCCTCTTTGAACTGAATTTTATTGGCCACCTGAGGGCTTCCTGTGCTTGGATTTTCATCATCTTTCCATAGATCTGGTGAATTTTCAGCCAATATTTGTTAAATATGTTTTCTAGGCCTTTCTTTTCTTTTGTTTTCTGGAACTCCTGCTATGTGAATATCACTTCACTTTACGGTGTCCCGTAATTCCTATGGTTCTTTATTCTTTTTCATTTTTTCTCAAAAAGAGATTGAATAATTTCAAATGTCCTATCTTTGAGCTTGATGATTCTTTCTTCTGCTTAATCAAGTCTGCTGTTGAAGCTTTCTATTGAATTTTTCAGTTTAGTTATTGTATTCTTTACCTCTAGGATTTCTATTTTTAATTGTTACTATGTCTTTTTCAAAAAATTCTCATTTTGTTCACACATTGTATTTCAAATTGTATTTACATTTCTATATTTTTTTTATTTCCCTGAGCTGCTTTGTAAGGATTATTTAAAATTCTTTGTCAGTCATTTCATAGATCTTCATTTCTTCTAGGTACATTATTGGACCTTTATGGTTTCTTTTGTGGTGCCACATTTTCCTGATTTTTTAATAATTCTTGTGTCCTTATGTTGATGCCTGTATATTTGATGAGACAAATCCTTCTTTCAGCCTTTGTGGACACTCTTTGGTGGTAATAGTTCTTTACTATTTAGTCTAGGCTGAAAATTCTAGATGAGTTGGCTGGTAGCACCACAAGGCAGAAAGATGTTGGTGTCAGATTTTCTGGTTGAGCTGGGTCACTTCCTGTTCTCTGAGGTCTAATGATACGGTTGTCTATGCTCCATGCTCTGGTGAGACCTCTGGCTAAATTCTGCTGTCAGGCAGAGTTGCTAGCTAGGCTCTGTGGTATTCTGTGACCAAGAAGGGCTGCAGGTTGTCCTCCCTGGTTAGGAGACACTGTTATTTGGAATCTATAGTTGGGCAGAGTCATGTGCTGGGATCTGAGGCTAGGTAAGGTATCTCAGGTTGCTACTTAGCCACACAAAGTGGGCAGGGTGAGAGGCAATGCTCTGTATATATGATGAACTTGGGCTTGCTTTTCTGCCTCGGATAGGCTTAAATAGAGCACAAAGGCTTGGTGGAGTTGCTGCTCAACAGCTGGGGTTGGATGTGTACAGATGTGCCCTCTTCACTTTATCACTGACTTGAAATTGTCTCCAGATGTGAGAAAGACTTAGCTAAACCACAAAGGCTCTGTGAGGAAGCTGGCTAGGGACTCAAACCTGGTAAACCTGTGAACTATGATTCCTGCAATGTGATATCATTGGCTGGTCCTCTAATATGGCACCTTTGTTGACCAGAATGCAGAGCGATGAATTCTAAAATTATTCTCCAAATGTCCTATTCTAATATCTGAGAATGTGAATAAAATAGATAGTATTCCCATGATTAGATTATGCTATGGCACAGTTGACTCTAAAACAGAGATTATTTAAGTGGTCCTGACCTAATTGTAAGAGTCCTCAAAAGCCAAGAGTTTCTTATGGCTGATTATAGAAGAGAACAACAAGAATTTGAAATTCAGGAAGGATTTTACATGCCATTGTTGATTTGAAGATGGCAGACTTTACTTGCCAAAGAACAAGAGTGACCTTTAGGAGCTGAGAGCAGTTCTCAATTGATAGTGAACAAGAGAATGAGAACCTCAACCCTACAACTGCAGGAAATAAGCATAAGCTTAGAAGTAATATTTTCACTGAGGCCAGGCACAGTGGCTCACACCTATAATCCCTACTCTTTGGGAGGCTGAGACAAGAGGATTCTTGAAGCCATGAGTTCGAGACCAGCCTGACCAACATGGTGAAACCCCATCTCTACTGAAAACGCAAAACTTATCCAGGCAGGGTGGCACATGCTTGTAATCCCAGCTACTCAGGAGGCTGAGGCATGAGAATCACTTGAACCCAGGAAGTGGAGGTTGCGGTAAGCTGAGATAGTGCCAATGTACTCCAGCCTGGGCGACAAAGTGATATCCTGTCTCAAAAAAAAAAAAAAAAAGAAAAGAAAAAAAGTAGTATTTCCACTGAATCTCCAGATGAGAACTAAACCATTCAACATGTAGATTTTAGCCTTGTGATACTCTGAGCAGAAAACCCAGCACACTATACCCACTATACCAAACTTCTAAATGATCAAATTTTAAACTAATTAGTGGATGTTGTTTCAAGCCACTAAGTTTGCAATAATTTGTTGCACGAAAATCAAAAAGCTAATGCTAACCAAGCTGGCCTCATTTTTAAATGTAAGTTTAATAGTTGTAAATGCATACTACACAGAAAACTATCATTTAAAAGATAAATAAAGTATATTTTTCGTGGAAGAGCTTTGATATGGCATTTCAAACTTTCTTTGGGCAAACATAAATCTAATTTATCCCTCCAAGTATAAATGATTCCATTTCTAAGCCATTCCAGAAAACCCTTTCCCAATGTATTTCTGTGTTAAATAATTCTCACAACTATGAAATTTCCTTCTAAATCTTCATTTCCTCAGGTTAGTGGCCGCTAGTGTAATATATGGATACTATCTGCTGCTCCTACCTAGGCATCTTACACCTTATATAAAAAATGTATACATACTGTTGTGAAAAAGTAAAAATACATAAATAATCTCCTTAAAGCTGTTAGACCTGGGAGGCAGAAGTTGCAGTGAGCCGAGATATCGTGCCACTGCACTCCAGTCTGGAAACAGTCTTGTCTCAAAAAAAAAAAAAAAAAAAAAAAAAAGAAACTGTTAGAGATGGAAGGGAAGGGGAAAGAACTGCAAATGGGACCTAGAATGGCAGCAAGAACCCAGGGAATTTTAGCAACCATTTTGTTTCTCTTTCATAAACTGCAGGATTTTTCTCTTCATGCATTTCTTAACAACAATTTTCTCTGACTTCTAAAAATTTTAGCTTCATTTTGTCATAATATGATTCACATGTATGGCAGTTTTTTGAGTTCTGATCTTTTTCTCAATTGGCAAATCATTTCCATACTTCTGACTCAGTGTTGTAAGAGAGAGAACCTGGCTGGATAAGCTCACTTTATTCCACCAGTCCACATTTAAGGCCAGTAGCCAGTCTAAGGAAGGCTACCACTGGATCCCTGAGGCAAAAGAAGGGTGAGATCACAAGCTCTAAAATTGATTACCTGTGCAAACAATAGAGATAGCTGCTTCCAAGAACAGACTTTGCCCAGTGGTCATCAGCTCTAATAAAGACTTCATATTGGCCGGGCGCGGTGGTTCACGCCTGTAATCCCAGCACTTTGGGAGGCTGAGTCTCGCAGATCACGAGGTCAGGAGATAGAGACCATCCTGGCTAACACGGTGAAACCCCGTCTCTACTAAAAATACAAAAAAATTAACCAGACGTGGTGGCGGGTGCCTGTAGTCCCAGCTACACCGGAGGCTGAGGCAGGAGAATGGCATGAACCCGGGAGGCGGAGCTTGCAGTGAGCTTAGATCATGCCACTGCGCTCCAGCCTGGGCGACAGAGTGAGACTCCGTCTCAAATAAATAAATAAATAAATAAATAAAACACTCATATTTATTTTCTCCATCTCTCTGATTTACAAACTAAAATTTGCCTTATCTCTTCCTACTGAAATAACAGAAAAATCACACTTACTAATAGGTGGGAGACGTAGGTACAAAAACAAATCTCTGCAATTGAACAATTACAATGTAACTAAGCTTTCCACAGAAGATTTTACTCAAAAATAATTTTCTGGAATGTTACTATAGTTGTGTTATAACTATACGTCTATAAAGGTAAGTGGAAAATTAAACTGAGCCAAAGTTAATTTTGAAACTATCAGATAATCAGAACTGAGCTGGGAATAAAGTTATTAAATCATGTCCCTCAATCCTTCAAAAAATATCAGCCAATAAATAAGAACTTTGGTTTGACATTGCTTATATTAAAGTGAACATTCTGGTCCTAATTAGCTAACAGTAAACAATGCTCCAATCAAACAGTTCTTTAATTTCAAGAATGTAATAAATGTTATACAAGTTCCAAGGAGATGATATCACCTTTTTCTTATATAACTAAAAATAACCTGTAAACTTAATCTTGCCTTTGGATAATTAATGATTCCCAGACACATACAGAACAGGAGAGAAAGGCACAGCTGAAGGGGATAATAGTATGAGTAAGAGTAAAGCAAAGGTGAAAACGGATAATGCCAGTTGAGATACTGCGAAGACATGGAACAAACCATTAATAAAGTGTTTTAAAAGTTGGTTTGTAGTAGATTAAGCCCTTGATATACAGGATGTATGGATAGAAATGTGTAAAATACACTGCTCATAACAATCTAATGAGTATAAGATAATACATTTGATGGCCGGGCATGGTGGCTCACACCTATAATCCTAGCACTTTGGGAGGCCAAGGCGGGCGGATCACCAGAGGTCTCGAGTTCAAGACCAGCCTGACCAACATGGAGAAACCCTGTCTCTACTAAAAATACAAAATTAGCTGGGCATGGTGGCTCATGCCTGTAATCCCAGCTACTCGGGAGGCTGAGGCAGGAGAATTGCTCGAACCCAGACGGTGAAGGTTGTGGTGAGCCGAGATCGCGTCATTGCACTCCAGCCTGGAAACAAGAGCAAAACTCCATCTCAAAAAAAAAGAAAGATAATACATTTGATAACAATAACTGAGGTTTGTCCGGCCTTTAGTTAACTTTATGTCAGGACCTGTTCATATATATATATATATATTATATATATAAAATATATATATATACACACAAACACATATATATACATATATATACATATATACATGTATATATATATACATGTATATATGTATATATATGTGTGTATATATATATGAACTTAGTTTTCACAATAATCTTTTGATATAGATGTTATTGCTATTCTCCATTTTACAAATGAGGAATTTGAGGCAAAGTGATTAAATGACTTGCCCAAGCTCAAATAGCTAAAAGAGAAAGTTAAAACCAAAAATATCTTATATGCTAATATCTACTTTTTGTCACTAAACCTACTTTTTCTACCCTGTGTACTTTTCTCTTTTGTGTGTTTTAAGAAAATTAGCTACAGTCTGTAAAGAAATCAATTATATACATGTGAGTATGTGGAGCTATAGATGAGTATGTTTCTATGTTAACTATTTCAAGAGCTAATGGCAACATGAAATCCAAGTTTGGCTTGGATTAGAACAAGCACAAACTTGTTGAACCTAAAATGTATATTCATTATATTCATTTTTTAAATGCATTTGGAAAACTAATAAACAACAATTATTTTATGGGTAAATTTCCTAGTAAGCCATTTTAAACTCTGAAATGTTTTGACTATCCAAGGCAACATTCAATATGCCATTTATTTCAAAGAGCATATAGTTTATAACTCCGAGTTGTTATTTATCCCCAGCTCCCACAGTTTATCCATTTGGAGACTACAAATTTGAATTCCTTTTTCAGAATTTAACTATGTTTTCCTTCATCTAGTTTATAAAATTGAGATCTATGGAAGTGTATTAGTTCTTGCATTTGTATAAAGAAATGCCTGAGACTGGGTAATTTATAAAGAAAAAATGTTTAATTGGCTCATGTTTCTGCAGGTTGCACAGAAAATATGGTGCTGGCATCTGCTCAGCTTCTGGGCAGGACTGAGGAAACTTACAATAATGGGGAAGGTAAGGGAGAGTGAGCATTTCACATGGCTGGAGTAGGAAGAAGAGAGATGGGAGAAGATGCCACACACTTAAACAACCAGATTTCATGAGAACTCTATCAGGAGAAAAGCACCAAATGGATGATGCTAAACCATTCATTAAGGACTCACTTCCATGATTCAATCACCTCCCACCAGGCTCCATCTTCAACACCGGGGATTACCATTGAACATGAGATTAGGGTGGGGACGCAGATCAAAACCATACCAGGAAGCTTCTTGTCAATTTATTCTTCGGAGGCCAACAATTTGTGATAAATACTAGTCTTAAAAATAAAATTAAAAAGCTGATTTTCATAAGAAAAAAAATCCTAGCATTTTTTGTGGTGTCTGTTTATGATTGTTGAAAGGACTGATATAGAAAAGAAAACATCAAATGAATTATCAATTAGTGATTTTTTTCTCTAAATTTGCACTTAGCTACTAATATTTATTGATCTTGCCCTTTTGTCAGTCAAGTTCAGGGAGGTGGAGAAGCATACTTCCCGACCACTCCATTTAGCATCTTCAGGCACTAGAGCCCTATGTATTATTGATGTATTTTATTCCAATGATAGGCTAACACTCTTGGTTGAAAAAGTTTTCATTAATCAACTACTCATATACTGAATTTAACTGAAGCCTGGAGGCATCAAGATCCTAAAGAAACAGGATCACCATAAGCTTGCATAAAAATGTAGAGGTACTGACCTGTTCAAATGACAGTGGTTAGTAAATTAGTAGTTAATAGTAAATTAGTTTCATTTTAAATAAAATTACATTAGTAGTACATTAATGTTATTTTTAAACAATCTTTGAAATCTTTGAGTAATTGGTTTGGATTTTCCAAATGAAAGTTCTTTGCACATAAAAACTTCTACAACTTACTGAAATGTGATGGTTTTCCTTTGATTCAGGAAACTCTTCATGTGGTCTTTTCATGTTTTCATTGTCTCTAAGTTAACTCTAGTGGTCTAACTGACCCAAAAATTTCAGCAACTTTGAAAGAAACCACTGAAGTTTATATAGTTACATTAGACATTTCTCTAAAGCCATTTCATTTCAAGCTATTTTAGCTGTATACAGTCACTTTCAAATGGCATATTTGTTTTCTTTTATCTTTCTTTGTCCTGTCAAAGGTCTTAATTACTTTCTAAGTGGATATCTAGTAATTAAATTATAATCTAATATTTATATGAAAGTTGAAGACTTTATTGCTTTAGACTTTCAATCTCCTGCAAAGATAAAAATCAGGTAATTTCTTTACCAAGTAACATCTGATTTGTATATGCAGTGTTTAATGAATATCATCTAAATGGTCTCTCAGGTGTTCATGCATACGTAAATCACCTAACAAGGAAAGCTTACTAGTGCTCAGCTACATTTGCAGTTTATTCCAGAATTTTTTTCCTGGAATTTTTCTTCTAAGAGCAGACTTTGGGTCATATTTTCTTTATCCCATGAAATGTCATCAGAGGTGGCATGCCAATTACCAGTAGGAACAATTAAGAGTGGTCCAGGCTGGGCGCAGTTGCTCCCACCTCTAATCCCAGTACTTTGGGAGGCCGAGGTGGGTTGATCACGAGGTCAGGAGTTCAAGACTAGCCTGGCCAAGAGGGTGAAACACCATCTCAACTAAAAATACAAAAATTAGCTGGGCGTGGTGGCAGGTGCCCGTAATCCCAGCTACTTGGGAGGCTGAGGCAGAGAATTGCTTGAACCCAGGAGGCGGAGGTTGCAGTGAGCTGAGATCACGCCACTGCACTCCAGCCTAGGTGACAGAGCAAGGCTCCAACAACAACAATAGCAAAAAAAAAAAAGTGGTCCAATTCTCTGTATCATCTTCACCTAACCTAGAGAACCCTAAAGTTAATATGACAGCAGAGCCTATTGAGTGACCCATAGTGATCTGTAGTGATATGTAGCATAAAGACAAAATAAATCTCTGTTATTTTAAGAGTTCTTGGTATACTATAAATACAAGTCTTTTATCAGATATGTGTAATTTCTCCCAGTCTGTGGCCTGTCTCTTCACTGTTATCAGTGTCATTTACAGAGAAAAACTTTTTAATTTTAATAAGGTGCAAATTTTTTTTTCAATGCATTGTGCTTTTGGTATTATATTTAAAACTAATACCTGAACACCAAGTCATGAAGATTTTCTCTTATTTTTCTTCTAGAAGTTCTATGGATTTGCATTTTACATTTATATCTTTGATCCATTTTCACTTAATTTTGTGTGAGGTATGAGATTTATGTGTAGGCTTGGATATCCAATTATTTCAATGGCATTTCTTGAAAAGACTGTCCTGTTTCCATTGAATAACCTTCGCACCTTGTCAAAATCAGATGGCTATACCTATATGTGTTTACCTTTGGGCTCTCCATTTTGTTCCATGAATTAATGTATCTAATTTTTTTGTGAATACAAGACTGTTTTGATTATAGTAATTTTATAATAAATTTTGAAATCCAGTAATGAGATTACTCCAATTGTTTGTTTTCAGAATTGCCTTTGTTTTTCCAGTCTCTCTGCCTTTCCATATAAATTTTAGAATATTTTTTATATTTACAAAAAAAGGTTGCTGGGATTGTGATTGGTATTATATTTAATCTATAGATCAGACTGAGAAGAACTGACATCTTAACACTATGGAGTCTCCTAATCCAGAGGCATATCTTTTTTCCTATTTAGATATTGTTTGATTTATTTCCATAGTAATTTGCAGCTTTCTACATACATATTTTGTACACATTTTGCTACATTTACAACTATTTATTTCATTTTTATTTTTGGTGCTACTACTTTTTTTTAACTTCAAATTCCAGTTTGTCATTGCTGGTACACAGGAAAACAATTGGCTTGTGCATCTTGCTTTAAACTCTTGAAATTTTTGTTTCTTTAACAATTGACTATCTCTTAGTGATTATAAAAATAGAACCTAAAGCATAATTATTCCCTTTAAAAAAATCCTAAAATATGTCATGCTCTCTTAGGGACACAATAGCTGGTGTTGGGAAAACTGAATCTGGAAACTGAAGATAGTGATGTTTGCCCTACAGCATGGAGATAAAACATTTGCTGAAGCCTATAATAACATGCAAGACAGCTCATGTTCCCAATGCACTTGTAGCTCTAGGGGAGCATATTGGAAAGCAAATGTTGGTTGTGTGTATTGGTTACCACTGGATAGTTTTGCAATACATTGCAAAAAAAACAGAAGAACTCAGGAAAGAATTAGTCAGTTTCCAAAGACCAGGAGAAAGGAAATAGAATAAGTCCAGAAAGTACTTTTTTCATCCCAAACAACCAAAGATTGAGAAATACTTTGTGAGTCCAACATTCACTAAAATCTTTTAATTGATTAAATTACCTCTGGGCATGGAGCAGATTAGGGTATACAACTCTGTAATTTTGTTTTTAGTTTTTTCAAAAAGGATTCATTATTACATGCTCAAGTCTCAAAGGACCTAACACAAAGGACAGAGTGAGAGTGAGAAAGAGCATGAGAGAGAAAACAAAGAAATGTTAGCAGTTCTGGCAACTGTATCTCAGAAAATAGTGTCAGTCTAGTTACAGACCCATGAATAAAATCAGATAGATAATAAGTTTGGTGAGTCTCTGAGAGAGCAGTACTTCCAAAAGAACCAGGAGTCTGTTTCTCCAGACTTTAAATGATCTTTGAGCACCCAACCATATATAGGCAGGAAATGAGTTAAGAAAGCAGCACAGAGTATTCCCTATGGCCTACTTTAGATGTGGCCAAGAAATATATTGGAAAAAGCAAACTCTTTCAGAGGGTGTAGCTAGCGACTTGCAAAACAATGAACAAAGGAGCTCTTCCCAAGGAATAGAATCAGAGCATAACCAAGGAACATTCCACACCTCCAAGATAGTGAAGCTCATAATATCTTCCCAGTGAAATTTTAGAATTGATGTGAATCAGGGCCTGTAGAAAGTAAGTCCCCTATTCTTCCCGTTTCTGAAGGACAGTGTTTATTATCTTCCTTTTCCATCATTGCATATTGTGGGTCTGGGGCAGCACAGGGTGGGTGAGTGATTGAGTAGGTGGTGCAATTTAGCTTGATTTAGGTCACTCTTCCCTAGATCAAAGCAAGCCAAATTCAGACCTAATGAACAGACCAGTGCACATCGTTAGAGACGGCTTGAATTTTAAGTTCTATACCGTGACTGGAATGACTATTGAGTTGTCTCTCTCTAAGCGGTATTGAGTATGCACCGCCTGTGGGAAGGAGAGTAATCAGAATACTTAGTGATCAAAAAAGCAAACTGTAATAGATGTTATTATAATATTCCAAGAATTCTAGGTCTCCTCTCCTTCCATAATCATTCACTTTTTATGTCTAAGTATAGTCCTAAGACTTACTTTGGTTAATGAAATGTGAGTGAAAGTGATGTGTCACTCTGCACAGAAGCATTTAAAAAACTCAATTCTCCATGTGTTTGTTGGTTTGTTATTTTATCCTACCATGGCTAAGTCTGAAGCCTCACTTCAAATGACAAAAGAACCTGAATCAAGGTAGTCTTTTTAGCAACCCCCTTCTCTGCCAACCCAGATTGTAAATGTATTATGAGAAAGAAGGAAAAAAAAATGATATTGTAAACCACGGACATATGGGAGTTTTTGTTTTACAGCATAAGGTTATCCTGATTATTGCACCAGGCACTTTGGAAGATTAAAACTCAACAACTTTGTAGCCAAATTAAGATGTTCAGATTATGCATGAAATTATCAAGGAAAAAATCGAGATTTTACATCCTTCCAAAATGCAGTAGTCATAATAAACATGTAAGAAGAATAATACATGCAGATCTGAAGCTAGGAAACCTTGTGAAGTTTGTTTTTTAAATCCTTCTACTTCCCTTTTCTGTGGATATTCTGTCTCCAGAGAGCCCTCATCTCTATCCACCAACCCTAACCTCTAAATATGTAATTATACACAATTTAGAACATGATGGTTTTGGAGAATATGCAAAAGCAGTGCCATTTGGAGTTAGCAAAAATTATCTCTATTATTTGGTTTGGAAATTGGAGAAACTCATATAGGATATAAAAAATAATGAACCGGTTTATACACATTTATCCCTAGGTGCAGTAGTCAATCATACTTTCCCTTCTCTTCTTTCTCTTACCTTCTCTTTTTTACTGTTATATTTTTCCTATAAATAAAAGAAACATCTTTTCCCCACTTTGTATTATTAGTATATGCTTTTAAAAAGGTAGTTTTAAGATAAAAAGCAACAATTTGGTATGATTTATCAGGATAATATATGCAATGGTATGTCCACTTAAGGTAATTTTTCTCAGAAATCTGTTTTAAGATGTCTTATCTACATATTATACAAAGTCAGAATGTGTTTCATTTTAGAACTTGAAAATTGAAACTCAGAGAAGTTCATTTATCTGGAATTTAATGATAACAGGGAAATTTAGGTGTTCTTGCTGGTGGAAGCAATTTTGACTAAATGGTAATGTAGGATCTCAAATTTCATAAGCATGAGGTATGCTATTCATTATATTGAGAAGTTTTACTAAATGTTCAAAGATATATTATAATTTTATTATAAAATGAAGGGAGATGCCTTATGGAATACATCCTAGTTCTCCTATCCCCCAAGATATTTTAACTATTATCCAGCAAACCATTTTCTTATACATTTCTTAACACCTAGATATGGCCTAAAGTTTCCAGTGTCTTACAGCTATAAGAAATTAAACATATAATATACTAAGCTCCAGGGACAAGAAATCAACAAATACCTATTTGCAAACAGCATTTTTCCAATATTATTTCAACATTAAATGGAAAACATGTTGGTTTTGATAAAATATTATTTAAAAAGTGTGAATTTATAAAGCTATAAAGTGTCAACACAAAATATACACGACAAATTAAGTCTGTTAGTATGGAAGACATTTTGATTCTCTCAGGAATATGTTCTCGGGATCAGACCATTTACTGAATGCTGTTTTCCATGACTGTGATGAGATTCAGCTGGGCCACTAACAATCTTCTCCAGGGAGCTGGCAAGTCGAAAGGGAATTGCTACAATTAGCGTCCCTGCTCCCCACTCCCACTTCACTGCCCTCAGTGAAATTGACTGTCTGGGAAGACAAAAGCATACAGACAGAGAATTCAACATCAAGTCTAAAGCAGTGCCAAAACCCACTTTATTTAATGTAGACAGTGAGTTTCCACCCACAGCTTCCATGTCCTGTAAGTGTTCCAGTCCTGTCGGCTCATGAATAATCTTTTCCTGTGGACAACTGCCAGTTACTTGATTATTATATTTTTCTTTCTAACTTTGAACTTGAATTATCTTTCGCCACTTGAAAGTCTTTCAAAAATATCCCCCAATAAAAGTTAACTCTTTCTTTTAATTTTTCTTTTTATTTATAGAAAATTTAAGAACATGAGCCTCACTAGCAGCACTAAAGAAGAATTAGTCAAAAAAAAATAGAATCTACACATTTTATTGGCAAAAAAGAAGAAACTGGTTGATAAAGGGAAAGTAGTTGATCTTTGATATTGTATATTATTTCTTTCAATGAAGGTCTCAACCTCTTCTTCTGTATCTTTTTTTTTAACTTTTTGGAAACTTGCATTGAATTTTTTCTCATATTCATTAGTATGGCCGTACTGGCTGGGTTTCTCCAATCTAATATTTTTCCTCTTAGCATTCTTCATTATAGCTCCTCCTACTTGAGAATAAGGCACTATATGTGACTTTATATATAATCCATTATGGCTATATTAGGCAAAAGAGAATTAAAAACTTAACCAAGCTCATTATACTCTTAGTACACTGACATTTTTACCAATAAATATGATAACAAGCAATATAGAAATGGTAATAATTGCCTCAAACACTGGACATAACTATCAAATCAAGAGACAACACATAGATATTCTTGAATTCTCATCTTCTATGTAAAAGTATAATAAATATTAAGCACTAGGTCTGGTTTACCTAGACCAACTAAAGTTTTCTATAAATTACAAAATTTTAAACTATATTTCATTAGGAAAATAATGTGTGAGGCTTAAATCTCATGAGGGATTGGTAAGGCTTGGTTTTTTTATTTGTATACATACATTGGTCCATATATGAATATGAAATACCTAATATGAAAAGGAATATAAACATGTCCTACCTTCTACAGAAAAATAACAAACTTAAGAGACTTTAAAAAATGCTATTTTCCTCAAAAACACTCTTTCTTTGTTACATCCTCAGGACACACAACATTTCCAGTTCCCGGGTAAATGCTTCCATTTCATTTGAGGACAGGTGCCATATGAGGTCAAGAGTACAGTGGTAGAACACGTAGTACACGTTGGCAGTAGGAGACATGACTTTTGGATAGAAAAATGAGAAACTAATACGTTTCCATCCAGAGTGTCAGTTAAAAACTCAGTATTTGGTAGTGATGACGGGTGGGTGGGGAGGGCTTTGTATGACTTTCTTTCTCTTGATGTTTTTTATGATGTTTCAAAAATATGTACACTGTTCCAAAATAAACCACCTAGTTTTAAATAATAACGTAATTGGAGAATTGTACAAATTTGATTGGTGCTAATTGGTTTGATATAAAAAATCTGCAAAGAATAAAATGGCTTTCCATAAGTAATTGTAGTATTCGATAGTAATAATAATAACACAATTAGCAAAGAAAATTATCTATGGAAGTTCTAAACAATTGCCATATGAATAAATTCCTATCCAGTTGGGAGGTGACAGAAAGATTTATGTTTTTATTAAAATCCAAGATTTCCTTCCATCTTCACTACAACACCTGTTGTCAAAATCCTTCAAAACTTTTAAGCAAGGGCACTAGCTATAAATCTTCTTGATATTTAGTAAATTAGTTTTTGAAATAATATGATTACTTATCATTTGCATCTCCTCTATTTTCCTACCTCATAACTTTTAATTTGAAGTAACTAGTTTAATCTTTACAGGTGCTACATAGAAAGTATTTAGTTTATTACAAGATTTGAGGAAACCTCTCTTTCCATACATTTGTTCACGTAAGAGTCCAGGATAGTAATTTCCATTGGCTTGTAACTTCCTGTCAGGGACAACCATAGTCTTTTATATTGATTGGAAGCACTGAGTTTACATCAGTTTCCTTTCGTTGTTGTAAAAATTACCATAACATTGTGGCTTAAAAAAAAACACATATTTATTATCTGATAATTCTAGAGGTCAGGAGTCCAAAATGAGTTTCACAGGCTAAAATCAAGATGTCATCAGGGCTGCCTTCCTTTCAAGAGGCTTAGAGGAGAGTCTGTGTTCCCGCCTTTTCCTGCTTTTAGAGGCTGTCCACATTACTCCACTTTACTTAGTTTGTTGTGTCCTCCCATCTTCAAAGTCAGCAGTAGCTGGTTGAGTCTTTCTCACATCATATCACTCTGACACTGACGCTTCTGCCTCTCTCTTCCACATTTATGGACCCTTCTGATTACCTTGACCCCACTCAGATAACACAGGATAATCACCCCATTTTAAAGTCTATTGATAAGCAACCTCAATCCCATCTGCAGCTTTAATTCCTTTTGCCATTGAACCTAATATATTCACAGCTTCCAGGAATTAGAATATGTGCACCTTTGGCAGGCTATTTTGCTGTTTGCCACGGGGTGTTCTTTACACATGTGTGAAATTGAGCATCCTAAGGAGGTGATTTTCAATATGAAATATTTGGTTACTAATGTATTTTCATGAACTTTCCCAAAAGCTAAAAACATCATCTGCTTCTTTTCTTAAGGTCATATTTTCATTATATTTAGCACTTTATTTCTCCAGAAAAAAAAAAGTTCAGAAATCCGTATTTCTTAAATGAGTCAGTTGCTGAGATTATATTCAGGCATGTAAATTAACTAAAACCTTAGTAGAATATTATGTAATTTCTAGATTTTAATAACTACATGTGGCTCAGCAATAGTTTCAATAGAGTAAATGAGTCTTTAATAATGACTAATTTGTAAGAAACTTTCCAAGCTTACACCTGTCTTCAAGATTGTCTTATGTACTAAAATATTTTATACATTAAGAGGACTTTACTTATATGCATACCTTACTTTTTAAATATTGCATAAAGCAAATTTAAGATAAAAGCACTGCTTTATTTATTGTTCCATATTCTCTAAAAGTGTTGTACATACTTTATTTTAACAAATCAAGACACAACCAGGCAAACAGGCGTGTTAGTGTGTCTGGAATGGGTGGGTTTTTGGTCTCACTGACTTCAAGAATCAAGCCGTGGAAACTCGTGCTGAGTGTTACAGTTCTCAAAGATGGTGTGTCCCGAGTTTGTTCCTTCTGATGTTTGGACGTGTTCAGAGTTTCTTCCTTCTGGTAGGTTCGCAGACTCGCTGGCTTCAAGAGTGAAGCTGCAGACCTTCCCAGTGAGTGTTATAACTCTTAAGGCGGCGCGTTTGGAGTTGTTCATTCCTCCCGGTGGGTTCGTGGTCTGGCTTGCCTCAGGAGTGACGCTGCAGACCTTTGCGGTGAGTGCTACCGCCCATAAAGGCAACGCTGTGGACTCACAGAGTGAGCAGCAGTAAGACTTACTGCAAAGAGACAAAACCGACACAACGTGGAAGGGAACCCAATCAGGTTGCTGTGGCTGGCTTAGGCAGCCTTCTTTAATTCCCTTATCTGACCCCACCCACATCCTGCTGATTGGTCCATTATACAGAGAGCTGATTGGCCCATTTTACAGAGAGCTGATTTGTCTATTTTACACAGAGCTGATTGGTCCATTTTACAAGGACCTGATTGGTCTGTTTTGACAGGGTGCTGATTGGTGTGTTTACAATCCCCCAGCTAGACACAGAGTGCTGATTGGTGCATTTACAATACTCTAGCTAGACATAAAAGTTCTCCAAGTCCCCACTAGATTAGCTAGACACAGAGCACTGATTTGTGCCTTTACAAACCTTTAGCTAGACACAGAGTGCTGATTGTTGTGTTTATAATCCCTGAGATAGACACAGAGTGCTGATTGGTGCATTTATAATCCTCTAGCTAGACATAAAAGTTCTCCAAGTCCCCACCTGACTCAGGAGCCCAGCTGGCTTCGCCTAGTGGATCCTGCGCCAGGGCCACGGGCGGAGCTGCCCACCAGTCCCATGCCCTGCGCCTGCACTCCTCAGCCCTTGGGCAGGTGATGGGACCAGGCACCGCAGAGCAGAGGGCAGCGCCCACTGGTGAGGCTCGGGCCATGCGGGAGCCCACAGTGGGTGGGGCGAGGCTCGGGCATGGTGGGCTGCAGGTCCCGAGCCCGGCTCCGTGGGGAGGCAGCTGAGGCCCCGCGAGAATTCTGGCAGGCTGGCACTGCTGGGGGACCCAGCACACCCTCCACAGCTGCTGACCCTGGGTGCTAAGCCCCTCACTGCCCGAGGCTGGCGGGCCAGCCGGCCACTCCGAGTGCGGGGCATGCTGAGCCCACACCCACCTGGAACTGGTACTGGCCTGTGGTGCCAACGCCGGTTCCCACCCACGCCTCTCCCTCCACACGCACCCCCCCACACCTCTCTGCAAGCCGAGGGAGCCAGCTCCAGCCTTGAGCAGCCCAGAGAGGGGCTCCCACAGTGCAGCGGCGGGCTGAAGGGCTCCTCAAGTGTGTCCAGAGCGGACACCGAGGCTGAGGTGGCACTGGGAGCAAGCGAGGGCTGCTAACACGTTGTCACCTCTCATTACTATTCTCCTTTTGTAGATGAGAAAACAAGGGGCTCAGGTAAACTAACTGCTTTATCTAACATCACTCTTCTAGAAAATGGTACAGACCAACCCTCAACTCAGGGGTTCTGGTGACTTATAGTAAAGGGTACTTTCTACCACGGCATTTGTTATAGAGGATAATATAGTAGGAAACACTCATATAGAAACACAAACAAGATTAGCATCCATACTCAAACAAATAACCAAAATTTAGAGAAAGAAAATAACCCAATTTAAAAATGGGCAAAAGATCTGAATAGACATTTCTCAAAAGAAGACATGCAAATGGACAAAAGCTACATGAAAAAATACTTAACATCACTAATCATCAGGGAAATGTGAATTATAACCACAATGAGATATCACCTCATATCTGTTAGAACAGCCATTACTAAAAAGACTCAAAATAGGTATTGGTGAGGGTAAGGGAGAAAAGACAACCCTAGTACACTGTTATTAGAATGTAAATTAGGCCATTATATGATGGTGACTTAAAAAATAAAATTTAGAACTACCATATGATTCAACAATTCCACATCTGAGTATATATCCAAAGGAAATGAAATCAGCATGTCAAAGAGATATTTGAATTCCAGTGTTCATTGCAGCATTATTCACAGTAGCCAAGATATGGAATCAACCTAAGTGTCCATCATCAGATGAAGGATAAAGAAAATGTGATATATATACACAATGGAATACTATTCAGCCTTAAAAGAGACAGTTCTGTCATCTGCAACAAGTATGGATCTGGAGAAAATTATGTTACGTGAAATAACCCAGGCACAGAAAGAGAAATACCACATGATCTCATTAATAGGTGGAATCTAAAAAGAGTCAAAACTCTCAAAAGTGGAGTAGAATGGTGGTTACGAGAGGATGGAGAGACAATGGAGAGATGATGAAATATCACAAAATTTCAATTAGGTATAAATTCTAGGATCTATTGTACAACATGGTAAGTGTAGTTAATAATAATGTATTGTATACTTGAAAATTCCTAGGAGAGTAGATTTTAAATGTTTTCATAATAATAAGTATGTGAAGTAACAAATATGTTAATTAGCTTAATCATTCCACATTATGTATATATATCAAAACATCGCTTTGTACCACATAAATATATATACAATTTTGTCAGTTAAAAATAAATAAATTTAAATTACAGTAGCATTCACAATAATAAATTTATGAACACTCAGTGGAAACAAATTTATGAAAGTAAGTTTCAGCTTCACAAGGAGAAATTGTGATTTTGTCTTAGACTATGTTGCCACTCACCACTAGGATTTTACTTTTTCACTCATCATTGTCATTTCCCTCTTTAAGAATGTACGTCACCAAAATGAAATATTTGACCAATAATTATGGTCACCAAGCTTCCTCGTCTTTGTTTATTTGCTAGAAAGTGTACAAGTTGAAACTAGAACATTGAGTGACAAACAGAAGCTGAAAGAAGGAACTAGGAAAAACCTAGGATGAGATTCCAATAACTGTTTTCAAAGACATGAGAGGTTCACTGTAAATTACTGACTTCATGCCTCAGGAGAAACCAATTAATCTCTAGGTGCCTCAATTTCCTCACTTATGAAACTGGGATAAAATATTTCCCACAAAATTCACAAGAATAAAAATACAATGTGTAATTATAATTAATTTTTGGCTAATGCAAGGGTATAATAAACTCAAGATTTTTATTTGAGAAATTTCACATTGTTTTGTTTTGTTTTCTGATACTGTAAGTCCTCCATAAGCATATTTCAAAGCACTTTTCTCTGTAATTATCAAAGTCAAAAATTAAAAAAAACTAATCATGGAAAATGAGTTTTACTTTCCTTTACTTCTTTACCAGACATCTTACATTTTTCTTGACATAATCTTATTTGTTAGGTACAGATTGCCAATACTTATTAGGTTTGGTTTTAATTTTGAAAATGCTGTGACTGAACCCCAAATCCATCTATTTTGTAACCATAGGTAAGTCTTTCATGCTGTATCTATAAACTGGCTAAAAACAGATATTACGATGAGATAAAAATTAAACTTTGAAGAGCCCCATGTGTGATAGAAATGTACCCATGTATTTCTTCTTCTGAAGGTAAAATTTCATGTGCATTTAACTATCAATGTGGTAAAAGTAATTTTTTCTTTTTTTCTTTTTTTTTTTTTTGAAACGGAGTCGTCTCCCTCTATCACCCAGGCTGGAGTGCAGTGACAGGATCTCGGCTCACTGAAACCTCTGCCCCCTGGGTTCAAGCAATTCTTCTGCCTCAGCCTTCCTAGTAGCTGGGATTACAGGTGCGCACTACCATGCCCTGCTATTTTTTTCTTTTTTTAATTTTTAGTAGAGACGGGGTTTAACCATGTTGGCCAGGGTGGTCTCAAACTCCTGACCTCAAGAGATCCACCCGCCTCCACCTCCCAAAATGCTGGGATTACAGGTGTGAGCCACCGCGCCCAGCCGATTTTTTCTTTTTGTGCTCCATTAGTTGCTGTAAATCACGCTACTTTTCGATTTGATTCATGACTTTTCGTATATTTCTTGGAGTGTCTAAAATGTCTTTATATTTTTGTTGTTGACCAAAAAAAAAGATGTTCTCTCAATCCTTAAATTTATCAATTTTTCAACAAAACTGTCTGATTTTCCTGTGGATATATGTCCTGGAGCCCTCAAGCTTGTGCAGCACTTGTACACACACGTGCAAAGATCTTGAATTGATCTGCCTCATATGAGCCTCATGTGTCACTCTCCTCTTTATATTTGCAAGCACTGACACTGAAATGCTCCCTCAATACCCCTTGGACAATTAGACTGTCATCATCATCAGCATGCCCAATTCTACTATTTTTGGAGTCCTGACCAAGACAATAAACAGAGGCTACATGAATATGGCTAAATATTTAAAGGCTGTAAGTTAACAAGCTGCTAATAAAGTTTGCTTTATCTTTGCTTCTTAACAAATGTATTCATTAATAAATTCAAAAGTCTTAATAAATTCAAAATTCTTAATAAATTCAATTTCTTAACATTCAGAAAAACATAATTTAAAAATAGATGTGTAAAGCCATAGTTTGTATATTACTGAAAGTCAAAATAATATCAAGGATGACTGAATTGAATCATTATTGTACATCTAGGCATTCTATCAGTGACCCGACATTTTTTAGGGAACAGGACTAAAATCAAGATATAGATAACTCACAAATTATCATTCACTTAGTCTATAAAATTTGCTTTTACTTATTCCCATTTCAGTATAATACGTGTTGTGTAATATAGAAACACAAAATAAAAATTAATTGTATTAAAATACACATAATTTACTATTTGTATTAAAAATATAAATGTAAAAATCAAAATGATTGTTATATTTGCACAGTTTTCCAAAAAAGATTTTTAATTTCACAATCATCTATTAGAATTTTGAGAAAAAGGAATTATAATCAACAAATATTTAATATTTAAATCAAAATTATTTAAGTAAAACTAAATTTTTAAATATCAAACTTACAGAAATTAAATTGTATTTTATTATATCAATATCTATCTAGTTGCCAATTTAAAAAAAATCAATAACACACTTCAAATATGTTTGGTCTAGCGTCCCAGAGAAACAAAGTAAAAGTAATATGAATTATTTAAAATTCCAAAATACTCTTCAACTGCCATGGGCAATACTTGTGAATATAATGCTAATTTGTTAATGTCTCCAAATCCACAAATGGAAACAAAATGAAACACAATAAATGGATCTTAGTACTGCTGGGAAAGACCGTTAGGTTAGGCAAGAATCTCTTATGATACTGTACTGGAAGAAGATGATACATTAATTATTTTGAATTTTGTCTTGTCTAAGCTCTGCTACCATTCTAATCCTCTGGACACTTCTAAGCACCGTATGTAGGTCCCCAACTTTGGCATCACACAAACCAAAATTTTCAAGGTATTAAAACTGGATTGATTTTTGCTTCTAGAACATAGAGCAGGAGAAACAGTTTCCTTGGGGTCTGAATGGTGTTAATGATACCGGAAGAGGGCAAGGAAATACTAGGTAGAAAAGAGCGAGGTCCCTGGTGAGGGCTCCACCCTCAAGTTTGTACCTGCAAACCTAAATGAGAACAAGGACTCTTGTTATCGCACGGGAATGTTGCGTTTTCCAAGACCACTCTGTCCTGCCACGCCCCCTATCCTGTGCCATATACACCGGAAGCCTTAGCTGGCTCAGACATAGTGACTGGATGTCGAGAGGAATAGAGGAGCACAGTGGCAGAGAAGAGAAGGGCAGAGAGCTGCAGACCAGCCGACCGGCACGACAGAGAAGGAGAGAAGAGAAGAGGTGTCTGAATTCCAGGGGAAGATTTTCTCTGCCCCCACCCTCCACCCCACCTTCCCACTTCCAGCTCCTCATCCCGTTGAAAGCCACCTCTACTGCTCAATAAAGTCTTCACATTCTTCATCTTTCAAATAGTTTCTGTGACCTGATTTGTCCAGGACAGCCAGACGAGAACTTGAGGGTTAACACTCAGCCGTCCCCGACGGCCGAGCAAGGGAGCGTTGTAACACACCCCTAGACTCTGCTGTGGGGCGGGAACTCAAAGGTGCTCGCCCCTGGCTCCTGCACTGGCTCACCTGCATGCTCCCCCTTCCGAAAGGGTTCTGAGCTGTGGGCTGAGTGAAACGAACCACTCCAGTTCCCTCCTGCCCGCCAAGGGGGTCACGGGAATGCTCCCCGCTCATCAGTTCAAATTACAGATGTTTAGAGTAATGATGCGTTGCTCTGTTTTGGTGCTAAGTGCTAGATCCTGAGTGAAGGATATACCAAATGTTGTACATATAGAAACATCACATAGTACAAGAACTCATAGGTTCCTTAGTGTACAGTGAATAATTAACTTTACTCAAAGAGGGGTCTGGCCTTTGTCCTTAACTACTAGGAGGTGATCTCTAGGTTCCTTCAATGTCTTAAGAGTGTTTTTGTTTACCGGGGGCGGGGCGGGGGGCTTTGGCCACTAGGCGGCCTAACAATGTAATTTATGGTGGAGGCTGTGGAACATACCACATACTGTTCCAACCTCTGGAGAAAATGGAGACTAACCAAACTTCTGGATAATGGAGACCAAAAGTCAGCTATGTGGGCAAAATGTAATTGAAACCCAATACAAACTCTGAACACCAATGACTAGGGGGAGCTTCCCTGGTTGGCAATACAGTAGTTGGCCCACCATTTCCATGAATTCCACCAACTGTGGATCAAACTTATTAAGAAAAAAATAGCAATACAATAATAAAAATAATACAAACTAAAAACCAATAAAATATAACAACTATTTGCATAGCATTTACGTTGTATTAGGTATTTATAAGCAGTCTAGACATGTTTTAAAGTATATGGGTGGATATGCATAGGTTATATGTAAATTCTATGCCATTTTATATAAGGGACTTGAGTATCTATGCATTTTGGTATCTGCAGAAGGTCCTTGAACTGTTTCCCCACAGATACCAATGGACAACTGTATTCTTTGAGTATTGTCACACTTCAATACCAAGAAGGTAATGTGTCCCTGATAATGACAGAAACTTCATTTTCAGAACCCGCCCAGATTTGCCCTATGTTCTGTTCTTTCAGCTGTTTCTAATTTGTATACTTTCATTATAATAAAACTGTAAACATAAGTATACAATTTTCTTGAGTTCTGTGAGCTATTCTAGCAAATGACTGAATCTGAGGGTGGTCGTGGGAACTCCCAAATTTGTAGCCAGTTGGTCTGAAGTAAGGGTGGTCTTGGGATACCCAACTTTGTGGCTAGCATCTGAAGCAAGGGAAATATTGTAGGAACTATTCTCTCACTGTTTGCCTAAATGCCATTGCATTTAACACTTTGCATTTTGTGTGGTTGGGATATGTGAGCCCTCTATAGCAGACTGCCAAGTTTCTCTGTACCAAACAAAGTGTGATCCTTTTTCTCAGAGCACCTCTGTATTTATTTTGTTTAATCCATGAGTACTATTTATCCACATTTCCTCTTGCAAGAAGTCTCCTGTCTACTGATCATCCCCCCATTTTCTTCACTTGTGTATATTGTTTTTGTTTACTTTTTTAAACAGCTTAATTTATATACAGTAAACATAAAATAAGCTGCACATGATTAAACTAATAAGATTTGACATATGTATACACCCATGAAAACATCACCACGATCAACATAATAAACATATTATCTACAGAAGTTTCCTCAAGTCTCTGCAATCCTCTCCCTGCCCCTCCCAATCCCCTCCACCACAGAAAATCATTTATTTGCTTCTATCTATAAGCAAACTGTCTATAGATAAGTTTGAATTTTATAGAATTTTACATAAATAGAGTCATATAGCAGTACTCCTTTTAGTCTGGTTTCTTTCATTCAGCGTAATTATTCTATGAGCCTCAAGACTGATGAGTGATTCAATAGTTATTGCTTTCTATTGCTGAGTGATATTCCATTGTATACAAAATTCCACAATATGTTTCCCATTGACCTATTGTTGGAGATGTGGATTATTTTCAGCTTTGGTTGTTATAAATAGAGCTGCTATGAACATTTATGAATAAGTATGGACATATACTTTCCTTGCTGTTGAGTAAATACTAAACATAGAATGACGGGGTCATGTGGTATATGTTTAACTTCTTAAGAAACTGAAAAGCTGTTTTTCAAAGCAGTTGTATCATTTTACACATTTTACATTTGTACTAATAGCATATAAGAGTTTCAGTTGCAATGCATCCTCATCAACACTTTACACTTTAATTTTAGACTTTCTAATAAGTGTGTAGTGTTATGAAATTGCTGTTCTAATTTGCATTTCTCCAGTGATTAATGATGTTGAAGATCATTTCAATATACTTATTACCATCAATTTATATTCTTTAATAAAAGTGTTCAAATATTTTGCTTTTTTTTAATTGGGCTCTTTGTTGTCTTACTGAGTTTTGAGAGTTCTATATATACTCTGGATACAAGGGTTTTTTTTATTAGATATACAATTTGCAAATATTTTCTTTCGATGTGTGACTTCTCTTTTCAATTCCTTAACAATGTTGTTCAAGAGCCAGTTTTTTACTTAGATAACCTTCCATTTTACAACACTTTCTTTTATGTATTATGATTCTGGTGTTGTCTATTTAGTCAACCCAAGGTTAAAACAATGTGTTCTCATATTTTCCTCTAGTGAGTTTATGGTCTGGGGTGTTACATTTAGGTCTATGACTTATTTTGAGTCTATTTTTTTGTATCTGGAGGTAGGTATGAAGAAAGGTTCTGTTTTTTAAATGAATATCCAATCCAGAACAATTAAACAATTATATTCTTTTTCATGGAATTAACTTCACACTTTTGTTGAATATCAATTGAATATGTAACTGTTCGATTAATCTACTTGTTTATACATAAACCATTATCAATTTGTGTTGAATACCTTAACTTTAAAATAAGTCCTGAAGCCAGATAGTTTGTCTTCCAACTTGAATCTTTTTTTCAAGTTCTTTTGTCTATTCTAAGTGCTTTGTGTTTTTATATGAACCTTAGAATGAGCTCGCCAATTTCTGAAAACAAATCATGCTAAGATTTTGATTGAGACGGCATTAAATCTATAGTTCAACTTGAGGAGAACAGATATCTTAATATTATTATGTGTTTCAATTTATAAAGAAGATATGCCTTTTCATTTATTTAGATCTTTTATTATTACATTTTACAATTTTTAGTGCACAGGCAAGCCTTGCACGTGTTTGCTTTTCAGACTTGTTCTTAAGTATTTTATATTTTAATGTTACTATAGATGGTATTTATTTAAATTTCATTTTCCAACTTTAAGTTGCTGACATATATAAATACAATTAATTTTAGTATATTTGTCTTTTACCCTGCAGTGTGCTAAACTCACTTAGTAGTTCCAATTTCTTATTTTCTAGTCTAAATGACTTTATTTTCTTAGCTTATTGCACTGTCAAAGACATCCTGCATGATATTGAATGGAAGTGGTGAGAGTGAACAGCCTTGCCTTCTTGCTGATCTTAGAGAAAAAGTATTCAGTCTTTCATCATAATGTATATTTAACTGTAGATTTTTCATGATGACTCTATCAGGTTGAGAAAGTTTCCTTATATGCTTAGAAAGTTGAAAGTTTATGGATGGTTGATGTCATCAAATGCTATTTCTGCACCTATTGGGATTATTATGTATTTTTATTTTTTAGTCTGCTGATACAATGAACTACATTGATTTTCAAACTTTAAACAAATTTTGTATTCTTCAGACAAAACTCACTTGGTCAGTGATTTTTATGTTTTATGAAGTATTCTTGGATTCAATTTGCTATCATTTTGTTAAGAATTTTTGCACCTATGTTCACAAGGCATGTGGGCTTGCTATGTTCTATTTGTGTAATATCTTAATCTGATTTTAGGATCACAGAACACAAGTCTCATAAGTTTTATTTTTATTGATGAGTTGATATAGTATGGATATTATGTCTTCTTTATTTAATTGAATTCATCAGTTACCTAGAATTAAACTTCTTTCTGGGAAGATTTCTTTTTATCTGCAATAACATTGTTTTTAATAGACCTATGGCTGTTCAGGTTGTCTGTTTCTTCTTGAGTAAAGATTATAGTTTGTGGTTTTTAAGGAATTTGCCTATTTCATGTAAATTGTCAAATTTACTGACATAAAGTTTTTATAATATCTGTTACCATCATTTTAATAACTGTAATATCTGTCCTAATGTCACCCTTCTCATTGCTGATATTGGTAATTGGTTTCTTCTCTCTTTTTTCCCCCTGATCAGCCAGACTAGAGTGTTATCAATTTTATTGGTCACCTCACAAACCAGCTTTTGGTTTCATTGTTTTCCCTGTGGTTTTCCTGGTTGATATTGCATTTGTTGTTGCCTTTATATTTATTATTTCTATCTTGTGAATTTCATATATGCAGCATCTAGTTGAGCTCACTTATTTGTCCAGTTTGATAACCTTTACCTTTTAAAAGGGTGTTTAGTCCATTTATATTTAAAGTTATTATTATTAAAATTAGCCTTAAATCTATTTCTGTAAGTTTTTATCTATCTATTAATATATATTTTTTCTGTACCATTTGATAACAAATTACATACTCCATAAAACTTTGCCCTTAGAAACTTTGATGTGTATTTTCTAAAAATAAAGATGTATTCTTACGTAATCCCGGTATAATTATCAATTTTGTAAGTTTATATTGATACATTTCTTATAACTATTTTACTGTCTATACCTTAATTTTATCAGTTGATCAATTAATGTCTTTTATATCATTTTCTGCTCTCAGACAGGATCCAGTATAGAGTAAAATAGTGTGCTATCTGCCATGTATCTTTATTTTCCTTCAATCTGGTACATTTTCACAGTTTTTTAAAAAATCTTTCATGACATTGACACTTTGAAGAATAAAAATCACCTTTTAGACTCAAATTTTTCTTTATTTTTGTATTTGATGTTTCCTCATGATTGGATTATGGTTATGTATTCTCACCTAGAACACTACATACTTGATTTTATGTCTTTCTAAATTATCACATCTGAAGGTACATGTTGTCCATCTCTTCCTCACTGATGCTGTTAAATTTTTGATCACCTGGTCACAATAGAGTGCTCAAATCTCCATTGAATAATTACTGATTTTTTTCTCCATTGAAATTAATATGCAGCCTTTGGGTGACACTTTAAGACAATGCATATATTCTCCTAATGAAAAGTTCTTTCTAAGGTTAGCACAGTCATGAGCCTGCCTAAATCCATATATTACATATTTACCAAACGATTATTTTCCAAGTCTAACATTTCCTCCATATTTGTCAGTTAGTCCTCAATATTTACTTTAAGGAAGATGTCTCTTTTCTCCATTTATTTATTTCTCTATTTATAAATTACCATTTGTTCAGAAGATTATAATTAATTAAGGTATGTAATTATTTTGGTGCTCAAATTCTCCTAGATTTGGCCAATCAGAGCCCCTTCAGCCTGGTACCTGTATCCTTATGATACACGTCCATTTTTTTTTTATACTTCCTTACTTTCAAGCCTAACAAGAAGGGCCACAATCATCTTGAACCTACCATACCTCAGCCCTGCTATTAGGTGTCTGTCTTCAAGGTGTCCTGGTTCATTTTAATGAAGAGAAGTAACAGAGAACAAAACAAGGGCATCAAGTGAGTTCGTTGCTATTGCTATCTCTTCTTGAATGAGGATATATATTTAAATACCATATTCATGAGTTACTTTGATTAGTTTGTCATTTAATTTATTTCCCTTCCTCGTGGTTATGATATTCAACTGAAATGCAATTAGATCCATTTGTTTCAGTGTTCTTTCAGTTTTTTAGTTATATTTCCCCTTTCACACTTCTATTAATTTATTTCTAAAATAAATGTAGACTTACACAGTTTCAAATGCCACAATTATACAAAGGGTATACTGAAGAAAATGTCATTCTCTCCCCTTATGACTCCCACCTTATTCTCACCTCAAGTTGTTCTACCACTAGTCTTTTTGAACTACAGTGAAATTTCATATAGCAAGCCATGACAGCATTTGAATTTTGTTACTGTTTGTCACTACTTGGTGATAAAAGACTGGTATGTATTTCTGAAGTATAAATATATGTATGCATGGTTGTGCATCATCAAAATAAAGACACAAAAATATAAAAGTGTCATAGAGAACTCATTGACTTCTGATAATTTATCTGTGGATTAAAGTTCAAGAAACATGTGCTTTTCTTATTTTCTCTCAGTAATCATATCGCATAACACAGAAAGAAAGAGAGAGATAAGGAAAGAGAGAAAGAGAGAGCAAGAGAGAGAGACAGCAAGAGAGAGAGAAAGAAAAAAACAGAAAGGAAAGAAAGAGAAAGAAAGGGAAAGGAAGGAAGGGGAGGGGAAGGAGAAAGAAAGAAGAAAGAGAAAGAAAAAGGGAAAGAAAGGAAGAAGAAAGAGAGAAAAAGAAAGAAAAGAGTGCGCTGCCATCTTTTTTGTTTATAAACCATTGCTTCTGCTCTGCAACAGTATATATCTTTCATGGGATATATAAATAAAAGGTTATGTGTTGAGAAAAACAAGTAGTTTATGTAGGTTACAGTAAATACAATGCATGCCTATTCTTCCTAATGGTATGAATGTGGTCAAATATAAGAAAAAAACCTGTACTTAGCTAATAGGTTTTTTCGTTCATATTCCTCACTTGAGTTTTGCTAGAGAGTGTACTTATTATACTAGATTATTTATTACCTGAAGAATTCATAGAAATTCAATAATAATATTCAAATTACGGGTATAAAATAAAATAGGAGCACCTAATACATGTTTCCCAAATCTCTTCTTCCTTTCCTCTATTGCACTCCTAACCCAGTCAGCACTTCTGGCTCATACATCACAAACTTGTTCAATACTTTTTCTATATGAAAATTCAATTCTGACTCAATTCCTCCTCCAAGTTATGTTATATGTTAATTACACATTCTTTCCCCTTACTTCTAATATCTCACTTTCATATATCAAGTTTTGTTAGTCGCATCTTAATTCTAGAAATTACATTGCAATAAATTGAAAGTTTTGAGGTGAATCCAACATACTATCAAATCATTTTGGTAATTGAGGATAAAGCAGAAAAACAATAAGTAACCATATCAGACACTTGGATTTAAATAATAAAATTTGATTAAATTTCATTTTCTTAGCATTTCATAACTTAATTCTCCTTCCCACATATTACCCTTTCATTTAGTTAGAAAATAGTTGTCTTAGTCATAAATATCTAAGCAGAACTATAAGAAAAGTATTACATTAAAATGTGATTAAGATATTTTGACTGTGGGAAATAAAAAAATTCCAGGCACAATAAAAATAAAAAAACAAAAAGTTCCTGTGTAAGCTCTATTTTTAAATTGTTGTTGTTGTTTTGCTTTTTCAGTGCGTATATAATTTTGTTAATGTGGTATGAAAGAGAAAGTTCTATTTACTAACATATGAGAGATTCTCATCAGTGATTTGTCTTAAGCATGAAGATCAAGTTCAGTTCTCTAATAATACCAGATGGTCTGTTATCCTTCTGTATTAACTCATAGTCTGAGGAGAATTGTAACACGTGGCAGACTCAGTAAAGAGTTGAATTCCAAATTCTTAGCAGAGTTCTGAAAGATGGCAATAACGTTTTGACAAGGAAAAATAATACACAGGTCTTGGCGGCAGTTTCTCAGGCTCAAACTGGTTCCTCCCTCTTTCTTCACCCACGTTTCCAACTTTTTTTTTCAAATTGGTGTTTTGGTTTTGAGAAAAGTGCACAAACAAAAAGCTTCTTATTGGTCTATACATCCTTGAGAGTCTACCCCACTCTATCTGTATCACTCTAATGGGTGATTTTTGTTCCATTTAAAATAGCGTATTCTTACCAGCCCTTTACCTTCTCTTTCCTGCTTTATTTTTCTTCTCACCAGTTACGACCCTTTGATATACTATCTATTTTACCTATTTAATGTTACTGTCTTTATAAATGGAGATGTCAGGTCCACACAGGGCTTCCAGGTCCATGCAGACTGTTTGGAAATATTTGCCTCTGTTTCCTTGAAAGGCAAAAGCAGATAAGAAATTTGAGCAAAGTTAAGGAAAACAAGAAGAGACGCTAAGCCTTTGGTGGTTTGGAGTTGTTTGGGAAGTCCAAAAATATTTGAAGTTTTGGGCACCTCAGAAAGCTTTGAATAGGTAGTTTTAGAACAACTGAGAACACTTATTTAACACAGTGACTAATAACTTGATTGCCCAATAGTTGATGCTGCCTGAAGATGTAAGCAATTTAATAGTAATTCTGATAATAAGATAATTAAGATAAAAATAGTTTAGAATTACTTGATTAAAATAGCAAGAGACATATTGCAGTTGCAAGAGACAAACACATATTGAGACAGCCTTTGAGAATCAATACATCCATTTCTACCTGTGATGTCACTGTCAGTCTCTTGGTGAATACAAGGCTGGCTGGACCATGTCCTGACCTGGAGGACATTTTGAATGCTCTTGCTAAAATACAGTAAATGTATTGAACAAACAATCTACGCATACTCACAAAGTTTACCTCTAGCTATCTGTCTTGTGTGTTAATTTTCAGATATTTATTTAGCACCTGTTATGGGCTATGGAGAATATTGGGTTATTTAAACAAGAGAATGACTTAAACATAACTGTTGAAATACTCTTTGCTGCATTTTAGACATGATTTTATTATCCAATGAAAAACTTTAAGAAAGTTTATTTCCATGGGTAATCTAAGCTGATCTTCTTTTAAAACAATAAAATCTAATTCCACATCCTCCCTTCCATTCATTCTTACTCTTTCTCGCTTTTACTTTCAACAAATATCAAGCACATACTAGAAGCTAGGGGCTATGCTGACCTTTAGGGATCTAGGTGTGAGTGAAACAAACAAGATGACTATCTGCTTGATTCTTAGACTCTATTAAAATTAACAGAGAAATCATCAATTTAAATAGCATGATGACTGTTTTGAGAAAGTGTAGGTGCATATGAGAAACAACTGACTTTTCTACACTTCAGAGAAAACTTCCCACACTATGGCTATCTGACAATGAAAAATGGATAGGAGATAGTCTGATAAAGTGGGTTGTGGGAAGAGTGTCAAGTAGAATATATTTGATTATCTGGAGGTTAAGAAAGAAGGTGATCAGTTTTGAGGAACTTAAACTCGTTCAGCATGGTCAGAATGAAGACTAGCATGTTGAAATCTGAGACAACAAAGTGAGATGAGGAAGAATTAGGTAATCCTTAAGGTGTAAATTTTTATCCTATGGGTGGTGAAATGCCATTGACAATTTATGAATTGGAGAGTAGAAGGATGAGACTTGGATTTTAGAACAATTTCTCAAGAAAGTAAAGAGAATAAATATTTTTTAAAAACTGGAAACAGGGCTAGAAACTTGGAAGATGTTTCATAAATCTAGACAGAAGGTAGACTATAGTGACGATCTCTGGGGTAGTGATGTGCGTAGATTTGAAACAACGAATACGTTTATAACATGGAATTTAAGTTGCCCATGAGACATTCAAGTGGATGTATTTAGTAAACAGTTGGATATATGGCTTAACAATTGGAAAAGAAATCAGAAGTGAAGTCAATGTTTGAGTTTATTTTGTGATTCATTTATTTTAAAAATATTTGTTTATGACCTACCATGTCCCATATTGGGGACTGAAACTAGCTACTGGTGCTGCAAAAGAGAACAAAGCAAACAATGTTTATAAGTTCTTTTAAGCCAGTTGGAGAGAGAATAACATAAAAAGAGGTTAAATAGATAGTATATCAAAGAATCATAAGTAGTGAGAAGAAAAATAAAGCAGGATAGAGAAGGAAGAGTGCTGATAAGAATATGCCATTTTAAATGAAAGAAAAGAGTACTCCCTAGGGTTATATTTAAGCAAAGACCTGAAGAAGATGAGCAAGCAAACCATGAAGCCATTGGGAAGGAGTGATCCAGGTGGCAGAATCAGCAAGTGCAAAAGCCCTAGGCAACGATTTGCCCAATAAATAAGTAAGGATACGCCCAATATATAAGTAAGGATACGTTGGTAATTAAAATAATAGAATATGGTTTCAGGTCTTAGATTTAAGTCTTTGATCCATCTTGAGCTCATTTTTGTATAAGATTAGAGATGAGAATCCAGTTTCATTCTTCTACATGTGGCTTTCCAATTATCCCAGCACCATGTGTTGAATAGGGTGCCCTTTCCCTACTTCAGGGTTTTGTTTGCTTTGTTGAAGATCATTGACTGAAAATATTTGGCTTCATTTCTGGGTTCTCTATTCTGTTCCATTGGTCTATGTCCCAATTTTTATGAGTACCACGCTGTTTTGGTGACTATGGCCTTATAGTATAGTTTGAAGTCAGGTAATGTGATGCCTTCAGATTTGTTCTTTTTGCTTAGTCTTGCTTTGACTATATGGGCTGTTTTTTGGTTCAACATGAATTTTAGGATTGTTTTTTCTAGTTCTCTATAATGATGGTGGTATTTTGATGGGAATTGCATTGAACTTGTAGATTGCTTTGGTGGTATGGTCATTTTCACAATATTGATTTTACCCATCCATGAGCATGGGTTGTGTTTTCATTTGTTTGTGTCATCTATGATTTCTTTCATCAGTGTTTTGTAGTTTTCCTTGTAGAGCTCTTTCACCTCCTTGGTTAGGTATATTCCTAAGTATTTTATTTTATTTTATTTTATTTTTTGCAGCTATTGTAAAAGGGATTGAGTTCTTTATTTGATTTTTAGCTTGGTTGCTGTTGGTGTATAACAGAGCTACTGATTTGCATTCATTAATTTTGTATCCTGAGATTTTGCTGAATTCATTTACCAGTTCTAGGAGCTTTTTGGATCAGTTTTAGGGTTTTCTAGGTTTAGAATCATATCATCAGCAAACAGTGATAATTTGACTTCCTCTTTACCAATTTGGATGCCCTTGGTTTCTTTGTCTTGTCTGATTGCTCTGGCTAGAACTTCCAGTACTATGTTGAATAGAAATGGTGAAGGTTGGCATCCTTGTCTTGTTCCAGCTCCCAGGGGGAATGCTTTCAACTTTTCCCCCATTCAGTATAATGTTGGCTGTGGGTTTGTCATAGATGGCTTTTATTACCTTAACTTATGTCGCTTCTCTGTCAATTTTGCTGAGGGTTTTAATCATCAAGTGATGCTGGATTTTGTCAAATACTTTTTCTGCATCTACTGAGATGATCAGCTGATTTTTGTTTTTTATTTCTGTTTATGTGGTGTACCACATTTATTGACTTGCAAATGTTAAACCATCCCTGCATCCCTGGTATGAAAACCACTTGATCATGGTGGATTATCTTTTTGATATGCTGTTGGATTTGGTTAGCTAGTAATTTGTTGAGGATTTTTGCATCTATGTACATCAGGGATATTAGTCTGAAGTTTTCTTTTTTTGTTATGTTCTTCTCTGGTTTTGGTATTAGGGTTATACCGGCTTCATAGAATGATTTAGGGGGGGTTCCTTCTTTTCTTTTCCTGTGAAATAGTGTCTTAGGCAAAGACTTCATGACAAAGAACCCAAAAGCAAATGCAACAAAAACAAAAATTAAAAATGGGACTTAATTAAGCTAAAAAGATTATGCAAAGGAAAAGAAATAATCAGCAGAGTTAACAGACAACCCACAGAATGGGAGAAAATCTTCATAATCTGTACATCTGACCAAGGACTAATATCCAGAATCTACAAATAACTCAAATAAATCAGCAAGAAAAAAAACAAGCAATCCCATCAAAAAGTGGGCTAAGGACATGAATAGACAATTCTCAAAAGAAGATATACAAATGGCCAACAAGCATATGGAAAAATGCTCAACAACATTAATTATCAGGAAAATGCAAATCAAAACCACAATGCAATACCACCTCACTCCTACAAGAATGGCCATAATCAAAAAACCAAAAAATAACAGACATAGGCATGGATGCGTTGAAAAGGGAACACTTTTACATTGTTGGTGGGAATGTAAACTAGTACAACCACTATGGGAACCAGTGTGGAGATTCCTTAAAAAGCTAAAAGTAGATCTACCATTTGATCCAGCATTCCCACTATGTAGTATCTATCCAGAGGAAAAGAAGTCATTATACCAAAAAGATACTTGCACACACGTTTATGGCAGCACAATTTGCAATTACAAAAATATAGAACAAGCCCAAATGCCCATCAATCAATGAGTGGATAAAGAAAGTGTATTATGTATATACCGTGGAATACTACTCAGCCATAAAAAGGAATGGAATAATGGCATTTGTAGCAACCTAGGTGGAATTGGAGACTATTTTTTAAATGAAGTAACTCGGGAATGGAAAACCAAACATCGTGTGTTCTCACTCATAATTGGGAGCTAAGCTATGAGGACGCAAAGGCATAAGAATGATACAATGGACTTTGGGGACTAGGGGGAAATGGTGGGAGTGGGATGAGGGATAAAAGACTACAACATTGAGTACAGTTTGCACTGCTTGGGTGATGGGTGCACTAAAATCTCAGAAATCACCACTAAACAACTTATTCATGTAATCAAACACCACCTGTTCCCCCAAAACCTATTGAAATATAAAATAAATTTTAAAAAAGAAAAAATATCATAGGATAATAAAGAAGGAATAGAAGAAGGACAAGGAGAAGGAGGAATGGAAGGCAGGCAGGCAAATAGGCAAGCAGGCAGGCAAGAAGGAAGGAGGGAAGGAAGGAAGGGAGGGAGGGAGGAAAGGGAGAGGAGAGGAGGGGAAGGGAGGCAAGGAAAGGGAAGGCAAGGGAAGAGAAAAGGAAAGGTATCCTTTACCTTAAAATAAAGGTTACCTGTATTACTGCCAAAATATCCATTTAGATAAAGCCTTCCTCACATGCATTACAAAATTGCCTGTCTTCCTTGTGTAGTATATAACATTCCACTTTTACTGGTAAACGTTATCGACAGAACTGTGGGATAGGGTATATTCAGGCTTTTGTAGATGTGCTTGCTCTAACTTTGAATATTTTAAGGGTACTAGGATTATGATCTGTACATAAAAAAGAAAAACTAGTCTACCTTTTACAGTGCCTTTATCTATCCTATTTCTTACTTTATCTCATAGAAAAACTGATCTGAAACCCATCTAATTTTTTTATATCAACTAATACTGTGCAGCCATATTTCTCTTCACCATATTCTTGTGCAATCAACTTTTCTACCAACGATTTTGCATTTATCTCTTGTACAACTTTATTAGTCTAATAGAACAACAAAAAGTTTTTTTCTTTTAATCTTAAGGCTATCATGCAACGTGTCACCTTGTCTTACCTACAAACTTGATTTGAATTTTTGCTATGTCTACTAATCATAATTCTACAGAAATATTAGTAAAATAATTTTATACATCTTTCTTCAATATCATTTCACCAAGAGGTCTTAACTTACCTGGCAAGGGATAATATGAGCTTTGCCCAAATTCACTAACATGAACCCTGCAGTATCAGGAAGTACCTTGAGCATCTCTGCTTAGTCTCAAACATGCAGAATTGTCCAAGCATATGGTAGTAACTTTGCAATTTATGCCCTATCATTTTAAGTACATTCACTCTTCTTTACACAAATAAGTGTTACATCATGTTTAAATTTACCACTTTATAAGTGAGAGAATTTATACCGAGTAGCCAAATAATCTGTTTAATATTAACTAGATTATAATGGATTTAAGGCTAGGGCTTATGCATTGCTTTTCTGTTTCTATCCTGACAAACTCAGTATGGTGCTTTGCATACAGTATGTATTTGAATAGCATACTTAACTAATTGAAGGAAAATTGTTTGAGCTGTAAATTATACCACTGTCTGCATGGAGGCACTTACTTAAATGGTTGGAAAGTAATTTGGAGGCAGTATGTACAAAGTGGATAATACCCTTGAAAACCCAAATCTATAAAGTGAGAGTAAATGACACATCTATCAAATCATTAATGACTAAAACTTAAATACTATAAAAATTGGAATTTGATTAGCTGTCTTTATTTATTTAACTGTTGATAATGTACAATGTTCCTCAGTTTAACTGTCTTTCACGTTCTTCAACTCCTTTTTGGCACTGCATAAATTATATATACATATATACGTACATACACATAACTATATGTATATATAACAATTAAAATGTTATTTGGAGCAAAAAATTTTCTTTGAAGAAACTGGGGAATTTATCAAGCTTGAAAAAGTGATAAAGAGATGTCTAAGTTGAGAAATGTTGGAAAGTCTGGGACAGTGTTGTAAAGAAAAACCTATGATCCTTTTGGAAATACTTGCCTAAGTATGTCATTTCAGGACAGCTCCCTGCCACATAAGTAAGTTTTGTTGGAAACTGTGTTCATTTGTGCACTGTCAGGGTGGGATCATTTTTACAGTTTACAACGTGGACGGGCTCTGAGGGGAGGGAAAGCCTGATTTGTCACTTTCTGGCTTTACTCGACTAATCTAAGCTTAATACTGACTACAGTAAAACTTGGATTATCCTAACAGATTTTAAGAAAAATAAAAATAGGATGAAAAAATCTAGTTTAGTAGAAGAACGTGAGTCTACTCATTCAGATCTTTTGTATTCCATCGTACGGTCACACCATCTCAATTCAAAACGATAAATTTAAAGGAGCTTTCCATTGACTTTTAAATGTCATAGAGTACTGAGTTTTTCTCTTTTCTATTATTTACTTTTATTTTTGTAATCACAACAGAAAGAATGTATGTTTGACTGGATCCTCACATATTTTTCAAAAACACTTTTGGAACTACTCTATGGAATTTCCTTTAGGATCATTTTATGAGACATTCAAAAAATCAGAATCATTACTATGTATTCATATTTTTTGATGCAATGTCAAACCACAACTTGCAACAAATTGTTTTTGGCATTTAAAAACAATTAAGCCTACCCTCAATGATTCCACCTATAGGAACACGACAATAATATGTTTTGAACAAATAAGTAATTGAGAAAAAATTGAACAAAATGTAGTTACTCAAAATTATTCCATCAAAGAGGAAACCACTTATTTGAATATATAGTTTTGACATATTTAAAAGCATAGGGGTATTAAATTCACACAATATATTGGGATTAAAAGAATGGATTCCAGAACCAGACTTCCTGGATTAGCATCTTGGCTCTGGCATTTACCAAGTGTGTAATCTTAGACAAATCAGTTTACTCATTTAAAAAAAACATATGAAAGTAGTACACATTCATAAGAATGTGATGAGGGTACTTTCTGTGTGTGTATGTGAGTGTGTTTGTGTGTGAGTGTATAGTACCTAGTATGCACGAGCCCTATTCTAAGTTTATATATGTGTACATGTGTGTGTATAGCTATGATTATTCAGAAATGCTTTATTGTTTTAATTATAAAAAAACTACAATTATTTTTTCATAACAACTTTTTTATACTAAGAAAATCAACATATGTAGCCCATTTCATAATTCACCATTAGATACACATTTGCTGAGCAACTAACATGCCAGGAACTGCATCAGACATTAGATATTTAATATTTCTCAGATTTTATTTTGAGATGATTGAAGCTCTCTGCATGACACTTTTTAGGGCTAACTACTTAAATCGCACAGTCAAAAACCATTTCTGAGACTACTTTAATTGTGAAAGACTCTCTTCCTCTTCTTCACTCAACCCCATTTTTTGCCTTTATCTATGCAAACTAACATTTGCAAGCCAAGCTTTTTCTTATAAGCTTTTGGGAAAAAAAATTATCTCTTGGATAGGGATCCAAAATAAACAGTTCAAATAAGATAGGCTTTGGGAAAATGTTAATAAACTTGACTCTGGCAAATTATTTGAGTTTCCTTGTGTTTCTTTCACTTGGCAGGGATTTTAATTTGGAAGTTAAAAAAAAATGAAGAAAAATGTCCTAAGATTTCACACATGGATACTTTTATTATAAAATGATAATTTTCTTATAAAACCACAACTCAAGGTTGAAAATTGGGGGGGGGGGTTAATTTAAACTTAAATTATATAAAATAGATTGGACAAATAATGATATTGCCAGAAAACTTTGAATCATCCATATTTGACTAGAATCTCAGCATCTCATCAGTCAACAGGTCCTTACCAAATGTCTGCCCTTTTGGACTGCTTGCTAGGTGCTAAAGAAACAGTGACCACCAAAACAGACGCAACTCTTTCCCCGAGGAGCTTCCAGTCTTGCAGAAAACATAAAGTAATAATTATGAGCAAATTATTATAACTATCAGAACATAAATGAAGCACTTTTGGAATGCAGCCATTCAATATGATCCATATTTAGGTATTCTTCTTTAATATTGTAAAATATCTTTACCCAAAATTTTGGTGCCCATTGTCCCTAAATTCTAAACTTTTGAGAAGAAGAAATGAGAAGCATTATCCTTATTTCTAGTGAAGCAGAAGAAAAGTTAACTACAGCAATGTAGTGGTGGGAATAACAGTGAAGAAAGCTGACACACACCGTGATGGGTACATATAGGCACTGGAGATGTTGACTGGCTATCACTGCTGCTGTTGTTTCCTCTGGTTGCCTTGTCATACTTTCTTCTTAATAACAGCTAGGAAGGATTTTGCTAACTAGTGGGCTGCAATCATTAAGGACTTGGTGAAATTCCAAAATCCACAACCCCTAGGAATTTTCCTGGATCCCCTACTTGGAGAAACATTGTAAGCAACTTACAGCACACTAAATCAGAAAGGTTGGCCTGTAAAACCATTTATGTAATTCCTCTGCTTTTGTTTTGGGGAATCTTCCAAAAGACGTGTCTAGAGAATCAGATATAATTTGAGCAGAGTATGCTAACGTGGCTTCAACAATGATTTTACTTTTCTCGTAATTTTGTACTCAACAATCATTTTTTCCAGTGATGTGTCATGCTGTCCCAGTTGACTGTCTGGCCATATTTTGCCCTGGTGTTTGCTATAGCAAAAAGTGCAGCTATAAAATTATCTTCTTCAGCTTGATGTTAATTTCGATGAAATCTTCCAAGATGTATCTTTTTTCACCTCTAAATCTATGTGATAACAAAAGATCAAACAGTTCTCGATCATATTTTGAATGGGAAATATTGGTATCATAAAATAATTCAAGAGCCTTATTTTAGCTACTTATTTCTTTCTAGTTAGTCATCATAACAAATAACCAGCGAATGTACTTTTTTTCTCCCCTTCCTCTCCATAAAAAGTATGTCACTTGCACAACTTCAAGTTAGGAAATGGGAAGGGTCAGGGAAATCTCACACAATCCTACCCAGTTTGATCACACATTACCTCCAACAGCTAGCCTTCAGCTGTTGATCTAACACCGCCAGCCACACCCTAACTAAAATTTTAGAAGTGACTGTTTTAGCTGGGCACCAGGATACAATCCATGGCGACACACCCCTGATGCTGAATCTAGGTCAATGTGGTTGTCCACTTTGCAGCTAACCTTGCCCTGAACAACCAAAAAATAGATTACAATTTCTACACATAAAGGGACCACTCTAGAATACTATTACCTGCCTTGTATGTCTCCTTAGCATGCTCAACTAAACAGATTGAAGTTCCCACAATTCTCATGGGAATTGAAGCTAATAAATCAAGCAATAAAATATAAAGCTTTAGACATTTGTCTTACATTACATGTGGGGTGTCTGTATTTGTGGGAAGGTAAGGAATTTTCAGTATTTTGATTTGTATTTTTTCTTTTTTTATTTGACATTTTGCACAGTTTTTTCCTTTTAAAAATTTCACTGTAAGGAAATTGAGTCAAGAAAAATGAAAACAATTTAAACAAAAAGTGTGATAATTCCTCTTTGAAGCATTTTAATTTCATGATGCTTATTTATATGTCATTTTTTTTCTTTTTACCCTAAAATAAAAATAAATTAAAATTATGATGCATTTCTAGTTCAATTATTTCAATTCATTTTGAAATTAACTTTTGGCTTTTCTGTCATTCTCTTTCATGATCCTTGGTAAATTACCTGTATTTCTTTCTATTTTATAAATTTTTCTAATGGTCTCTGACTTGTAATACTTGTGGTGAACACAGAGTTTGACTGCTTTCAATTTATTTCCTAACTAGTTCTATTGTTTATTTTTTCTATTTTATAAATAAATTCATAACATCTGGAAGTTTTTTAAATCGATTATAAATCCAAAGACTTCCTATGCTGGAAAGAGTGACCTTCTTTTTTAAGAGTGATGGAAATACTGGAAATAATTAACTTATTGAAAATTACCATGAGTTCTAAAGGATACAAAGGAAATAGATTACTTCAAATGTGTTTTTCTGGATTAAGTGTTTCATATTTTAAATCATTCGCCATTTGATTCTTATTAATTTCCTACTATGCACAAGGCCATGTAATAGCTACGATGGAGTATAAAATGAAAGATAAACCTTAGTTTTTCCCTGGAGTAGCTTTCAGCCTAGTAAACGACATAAAAAGATGTAAATTAAAATAAACTAAGAGGCATAGGAAAGGTAAGGTAAATTAGAAGAAGAGCAAAATGATTTTAACAGGGAGGATCAGAAAGATTTTGTAGATTAGTTGATCTTTGGGTAGAATCTTCAAAATAGGATTTGAACATACAGAATGAGGAACAATCATTTTAGACAGAAAGACAGTATATGCAAAGGTATAGAAACCCAGAAATGTAGAGTAGGTATTGGAAAAAAAAAAAAAAAAGAGCCATTTGATTTACTAAGAAGATAGTTCTTGGATCAAGATGAATTGCATATCAAGAATTATCTAAAATAGTGTTTTGTATCCTGCTGGGTTTGGGTTGAGAAATAGAGAGAGTGGCTGGACATGAAATAATAGAAATCAAATTATATTAATCTATTTAGTATTATTATCCAAAGGTTAGCACTTTGAATAATCAATATGGCATAATTTTTATGTGAAGACTTTCTACTTGGACTAGTTTATTTTCATGAGTCATATGTTTCACCTTAATCACTTTATGAAATATATCTGATATCTATAAAATAAAGAGGTGAAGAGCAGAAACTGATCCATGGTCTGGGTCCTATATTGATTTTTTTAAGAAATGCTTATATTATTAAACACGTAATATTTTAAATACTATTTAATGCCATCCTAATTCAGTCAGTCTTCGTTACATTGATCAGTATTCATTATGTACAAGGGACTGTGTTTACTACTGTTCATGATTTTTAAAAGTGGGTGAGGGTAGGAAACAAAAAAGGTTACAAAGAGGAGTAAAATAAGTACATAAAGAAATACAAAACAATGCTTCTAAAACGGACATTGCCACAAGAAAGCCAAGACTCCAGAGGGCAACACTTGAATCCTTGGGAACGAAAGGAGACTATTTGCTGTGGCCTCCTTCCTCCAAGAACATATACCAAGAACATACCTAAATGTAGAGTTCTTTAAACATGATTTAATGTACAGACAAAAATGAAGGCTTTAGACAATTTAGTAGACAATTTAATAGTCATGGCAAGTTAAACACAGAAAGGTCTGTTTATGTCTGTTTATTTTAGGCAAGGGAGCCTGATGAGGAGGCTTTCAATTTTTGTGTACTTAAGAATTATTTGGAATCAAAGATCCTAAATCTGAGCCCCCATTGTGTATCTGAATAGAAAAGATATTGATAGGAATTAAAAATCAGTCTCCATTTGAAGCATGTAGATTCCCTGTTTGGCTTTGACCTATTTCATGTATCTATCAGAAGATCGTGATTTGGGCCTTCCTTTTATCTTTACACAGAATTGGCTACATCTGAAGAGCTGTTACAGCTGTGTTGGATATTGCTGAAAATTCCTAAGGATGACTCAGATGACAAATTATATTTGATAGAGAGTCTAGTGGGATTTGCAGAGTGGAGCTTCAACCCTGAGAATGATTAAGTTAACTGAAGACTCAACAGGGAACGCCTGAGCTGCTTCACGATGTGGCATCCCAGTTTCTGTGTCACCCCTGTGGTAAATTTATAAAGTAATCACACTATTCAGGAATGAGATTAGGTAAGGAGATGAATTTCAATTTCCTATGAATTTTCAAATATAATTACAATAATAATTATGATAGTAAATAAAGCTATAATTAAAATATAAGTATATCAGAACTTCGTTCAAGAGAACATGCTTACAATACTTCAGAAAGTTTCACAATTCAAGTAGAGGCTTACCAGTAGTTTCCCTTTCAATGATTAATAGTCTGTTATGTTAAATAAGATTTCAGGTGACATGTTTATGTCTACATAAGCAAAAACTCATAGCTACTTATCTACTTATGTGAAGCAACATTGATATAACAAATACAAGTTATCTTACATGTATATTAAGGAAGTTTCCTAGAAATTTTTACTTGCTTGAATTTTTGTCAGCTTTTAAAAGTATATACATACGTATTTAATTATACATATATATGTGGGGGGTATATAAACATATACACACGCAAACACACAAAAACACATATGTGAACTCTTTTGCATGCCCTAAGATTGTACTTCATTAAGTGTAAAGTAGTGGACTTTTACTTAAATACAATACTGAAAATTACTCAAAGATTAATGACAAGACAAAAATCAGAATGGTAATTTTTGTAAATTGGCCATTAACTCCATAACATTATCATTTTTTTCATCCTTTCACAATGCCTCATTAGAAAACATACAAAATTAAGTGTCAGATTTGTATTTACCACACTTCTAAATTGCGTAAAAATATCTTTACCACAATCAGTGATTAGTGGAAAGCATGGTGAAAATATTTGTAAAGTGTGCTAGTCAGTTCCAGTTGCAATGAATTATTTTGAGGGTCATGGAACCTCTTTGAACTTTCTGTTCAATCTTGGGATACTTCCCAGCTGCAAAACACAAAGACAAAAATTCAGAGCCTTAGCTTTAATAGCAAAGAATAGGTAGGAATCAAGATACTCAGTTTTTTCTAACTAAATTTTACTGGAACTTTACTTTACTAAATGTCAAGAAAATATGGATTTTGTACAAAAGTGAAAATTTTTAGTTATTTACAATTCCAATGAGTAATTTTGAGAGTCATGTAACCTCTTTAAACTTTCTGTTCATTCTTGGGATACTTTTCAGTTGCAAAATACAAAGATAAAAATTTAGAGCCTTAAGTTTAATAACAAAGAATAGATAGGAATTGAGATACTTCGTGTTTCCTAACTAAATTTTACTAAAACTTTATTTTACTAAATGTCAAGAAAATATAAATCTTGTACAAAAGTGAAATTTCCAGGCTAAAAAGAAATGGTTATTAAAATGGTTCTATAAGAAAAAAACAAGGGGTCAATGAACTCTACCTTGGGGACTAAGGGGAAATTAAAGAAAAGGGTCTTGAAGACTTGGTCATATAATCACTCAAAAACTGGACTATCATGTCCCACTGCCAGTGTAATTTGCCTCAATCCTGGACATATCTATGGTTAAATATGTTTAAGTCCTGCAAGTACAACATGACTTTTTCAACCATATTTTTGGCTCTACTATGCACATACTAGTATTTGTTCAAATTCTTTTAAAGGAAACACAACTCTTCAAATGTGGTTTTACCTTTATCAACTGAGTGAACTGATCAACCTCTCTGGGAATAATAAAGAAGACCTGCATTGTATTTTACAGTTGTATTGGTAGTTCTATTATCACAAGTAGTTTTTAAATGGCTTTACAGTGATTTGAAATCTAGAAAATGTCCCTAAAAATAAAGCATCTTGCTGGCTTCAAAAAGAAAATCACACATAAAGCCGCACAACAAAGGGGAGGGGAGAGGAAAGAGAGAAACATTGAAACATTTCTGTTCCATGTGTTTTCCATGGTGGAGATAATTGATTTTCTTAGTGCTGTTGTAGAAAGCGCTGCTGGCATTCACTGGCCTACTGAGTTCATCACAGCTGTGCTTGTGCATCTCTCTCAAGCTCCACTTTCCACTGAATTGGAAAAGATTTGAATTTTTGGTTGATAATCTGCCACACCCTTGCTTTGCCTCATCTTTCCAGGCACTCTCTTTGTTAAAGGAGATCCAGATTAATCAGTGCTTTAGTTGGTGCAGGTATTTAGATTTGTGTTAAAGCTCCAAATGCAATCCAAAAAGCAAAATGACATGTTTATGTGTCCTGGTTAACATCAGTGAAGTCAGGGAAGTATGGGAAGAAATGTGTGGCTAGATAACAATGAGGACAGCAGTTCCTGGATGGCATAATAGGATTCAGAAGTGTATGCATTTCACCTAGTTCAGACCCTGTATTAAGAAATGCTTTGACCCCGTATTAGGAAATGCTTTGACAGGAGGTAGAAAAATAGGATCTGGGACACAGAATGCAAAGGATCCTAGTGCAAAACCTCCATATTCGAGGTAGTGAAGAATCGTAAATCAGAATATCTGGAGAATGAATTCTCTAGGTCTCTCCTGAAGACCTTAAAATACAACAATCCTTCCATATGCAAAACATCAGCTAATGTTTCTTAAGTGAGTGCATCAATCATGAATTTTTCTCATGAGTATAAGGCTTTTATTTGAATAGCTAAGCAAATTAAGAATTTTAGAACAATAGTAATTTTATTTATAATGCCTAAAATAAAGCATAACAAGCATTATTTTAAAAATAACATTTCTAATTTTTCACAGTGGAAAATAAATCTAATGAAGAAATTCAATAAATTTCAGCTTTTATAGACCACCTAAAACAATGAGAGAAATCTAATATAGATATATGAATTCTACGTAGATACAAAGACATCATGAGAAAAACTATGTTTCTGAATTGGTTTGAACACAGGAAATATTTTTTGTGTACAGGACAAAGATGTCTGAAAGACAGAAAGATGCATATAACAGCCTTTCCCCAGCATCTCTACTGTGATCCAGTAGAAAAGCTTATATTCATGACCATTCTCAACAGTTACTTTTCTCCCACGCCCCCAAGCAGTGACTCTCCAATCTAAAATAAAGATACACAAGAGGTTGGTCTCGTTCTAGTTTTCCTTTCCTGTCATCAAATGATGTCATCTACATTGAGATGTCTTGGTTTGTGTCCTTGTGACTGAAGATATAAGAAAGCTTGGGAGGCCGAGGCGGGCGGATCACGAGGTCAGGACATCAAGACCATCCTGACTAACACGGTGAAACCCCGTCTCTACTAAAAATACAAAAAATTAACCAGGCGTAGTGGCGGGCGCCTGTAGTCCCAGCTACTCGGGAGGCTGAGGCAGGAGAATGGCGTGAACCCGGGAGGCGGAGCTTGCCGTGAGCCGAGATTGCGCCACTGCAGTCTAGCCTGGGCGAGAGAGGGCGACCCCGTCGCAAAAAAAAAAAAAAAAAAGATGCAAGAAACAAGAAAGCAAGTTTGCCACTGTCCATGCTTACAGGATTCATGTACACCTGGGAATATACATATGACATGAGTTGAGTGAAAATTTAGTAACACAAATTAGAAGAAAGAGAAAGATGAAAATTAGTTTAAAGGAGGTAATTTACTTAAGGAGGAAAGTTTTGCATTGAGGCATAAGGAAGTGACTTCCATTAATTGGTGTGAAATGGGGAGAATTTTATGTGCACAGGCATAGAGACGGACATGTTTAGGTGAAGGTGAAGAAAATTAGTTCAAGTGACCTTGATTAGAATTGAAATGTCCACCGTAGATTATAGAGATAGATGAACTAACTATGAACTGATGATTAGGGTGTAAAGAGATATCTCCATTGCCAGATATAGCCTTATACTGTGGACAAGCATATTTTTCCTGCAGAGATTTATCAAAGACCTATAAATGGTATTTGCCCCTCTTTCAAATATGACACAAAAATTACTGCTTAGATAGATCCAGAAATACATTGGAAAGTTTTGTGGATGAGGATCTGGAAAGTATACACATAAAAGTCTAAATTAGAAATATTTATACTAATCTTTAGAGTAATGCAGAAAAAATGACCACTTTCTCTGGTACTCTTTTGCTATTCTATGTGATAAACTCTTTCTCTTCCAGTTTCCTAAAAAGTTATGTCATGAAAAGGCTGAATTTTTCTCTAGAAAAATCTGCTCTGTCTTTCCCAGGCAGCATAAAAATTGGAAATCTCACAAGAAAGCACTCTGGCTTGCTAAAGAAATTTGTGAGAAATGGAAACAGCTATAGATAAGTATCTAACTTTTAGGAAGCCATTCAAACATTGCTGAAATACTTTGTCTTTTGATATTTGCCTGAAACTTAACTTCTAGGACCCAGGGTGGGTGGATGAGTCGAAGGGGCATACGGTGGCATTTCTTTCCGTGAGTCTCTTACAGTCTCCTATTTAAATTGAGTTAGGATTACTTCTGGCAAAATCCCAACATAAAAATCTTCTAGGAAGATCAGTTCTGTAAATTAGACATACTAGATAAATGGGCATCAAGCAGTTTTTCAAAATTATGCAGTTGTTAACTTCATAAGGGGAAATAAAAATGTATGCATTTACATTGTATGTATTAAAACAAGGCAGAGCATTTCTATACGTTCCTAAGTTATACAAACATATATGTAAGAGTGAAATATGTAAAAAAACTTTTACATAAGCAGATGCATACAAACTCCAGATGTGCTCTTTTTCTTACTGTGGGTTGTGTCTTCTATAAGGGAAAAAGAAATATTTATCATTTCTTTTACTGCTGAGGGGATGGGTGCGGCTCTCATATTTCAGAAAGGGGCTGGAAAGTGAGGGAAGCCAAACTTTTTCCTATTTAAGGCCAAAGCAAAGGAATCTCAGTGGCTGAGTTTTATGACGGGCCCGGTGCTGAAGGGCAGGGAACAACTTGATGGTGCTACTTTGAACTGCTTTTCTTTTCTCCTTTTTGCACAAAGAGTCTCATGTCTGATATTTAGACATGATGAGCTTTGTGCAAAAGGGGAGCTGGCTACTTCTCGCTCTGCTTCATCCCACTATTATTTTGGCACAACAGGAAGGTGAGTAGGTACTGATTTCAAGAAACTTTATGGGATTTTTGTCTTTCTTCTCCTCACAAAGAGGGGTGTAAAGGGGAAAATCAGTTGCCTGATTCAAGATAATTTCCTCTATAAGCTCCAGATTGTGAAACGTTGAACTGACCATGGCTGTGCTTTTTACATTACTTGAAAAATAATCGCGTTATGTGTGTTTTTAAGAGTTCTGTGGTTAAGATAAGATGTTCTTGTACTAACTTGTTTTCATGTTAAAGGCACTGGAAACTTTTAAAAATGGCTTTAAAATTTTTCCCTCCTGGATTGTTAACATCTTGGAATACTTCCCCAGGCAGTCTGGAAGTTATTGGTCTCTTGCAATAATTTTATGTTCCTCTTTGTCTGCTGGATTCTTTGTAAGGTTAGAATATTGAGCATTGTTTTCTGAATAAGAATGCCTTTCAAATATCATGGATTAAGAACAGTCTAAAGGAAGATTCTACGCATTATCAGAATCATTGAATATATTTCTGTAAAATGGCTACAAGATACCTATAAACATTCTTCAAAGGGATCAAACTGCTAAAATATTTTATTATTCCTGTTTTTATTTTGTTTCAAGAATGATTGATTAATTCATCTTTTCTAGTAGCTTGATATTAAGGGACTAATATTTTCCACATATTCTACGTTTTAACCACATTCGCATTAATGAAGAAAATATTTTTTAAAATGTTTCAACAGGAGGTTTGACTTTGCTGCAAACAAGGTAAAGATACTAGTACTGTTTGACTTCAGAAAGCTGTTTTGCTATATTTTCTAATAATTGCATGTAATGTTTTTCATATTCTAATTTCCCCTAAAAACACATTTGTCTCATTATTTATGTGAAAATATTCTTTTATTTACCATAGTCATGAAAATGCTGAACAAATTGGAATACAAACTTCCATAGAAATAAATATTTAAGTGCTAAATGTAAAGATAGCTAGGAGAAATTATTAGACAATTTTTATTGCACATAACTAAACATGGTTACATTTAAACATATAGATTTTGCAAAGGACACTGCATGAAAATTTGGTTTTTGTTTGTAATATCAAATGTATTTGTTGTCCTCATAGCTAATACATGTAAATGTGTGTATGAGGGGAGGGGTAGATATACAATGAAATGTCTTCAGTTATATTCAGCCCATGGACACAAAAGAAAAGAAACACCCATTTTCCTTGTTCCCTTAATTTCCTCTCCTCCTTACCCCTCCTCTCCTTCGCTTTGCCCTCCTCCTTATCTCTCTCCACCCCTTTTGGCTCCTTTAGACTTCTCTTCACTCATCACCCCACCCCTTCCTAGGCAAGCCCATATCTACTCCTCTCTCCTCCTCTGTCTTCCCTGCCTGTTACTCCCTCCCTACTCCCCATGTGGCCTCCTTATGCCTCCATTTCTTTTTTTTAGTTCTCTCTCTCCTTGCCTCCTCACCCTTTCTTTCCCCTGAACTCTCAATCCTTCTTCCTTTCTCATTCCTCTCCCCTTTTCCTCCCTATCCTGCTCTTCCCAGGAGATGCTACAACTCACAGTCCTTTTTTAGGATACCAAATGACTACTATCCCCCACCAACCATTTATTGAAAAGACTACAAACTTAGGGGTTTTAGCTCAAAAAATTGCAACATATTTGTAGTTGCCTCGTGGTTGCAAGCTTTTTATAAGCACTGTGGCTATTTTTCTTCCCAATCCAACTTTAGTGGGGGGGTGTTTGCCACTTACAGTACCTTGACATCACATTAAGTTCTGTTTATTTCCCTCTTTCTCTTTAGATGCAAAAAATAATCAATAAGTATAAAATTTTGCTGATATGTGTTTGTGTGTTCTTAAGCTCAAAAAGAGTTGAAAGAGAACTGTTCAGCCTATTTTTTTTGTCATGAGTAAAAGTAAAGTTGAAGTGACTTAAGACAGTACATCTTATGTTCCCTGTGGGTTTTACAAGGAAATTCTGCTATTAGATAAGCTTTGGAAAAGTTACAGGAGGTATCTGAATATACAGCACACTGAGAGCTGTCATAAAGTTCTGGGGTGGGGTTTCTTATATATGCCCTCATAACTTCAGAGACGGCACAGCTCTAATGAACACTCACTTCTAGTTCACTCACAGGCATTTTCTGGATACAAACAAGTCCTCAAAAAGAATTTTGGTCGTCTTACAAATTTGTGAACATTGTATTTAATTCATGTGTTTTAATCCACCAATGGAGAAACATAGTCTGTTTTATATTTCCTGTAGATTATAAACATGCCAAGTTTTAAGTACAAAGATGCGTCACCTAGTGGCTGACAAGCCAGGTTACCATTTACATAACGAATGCCAATATTAATGTTATGTAGCTGGCTTTGGTAGTTTATAATGAGCTTTAAAAAATTCATATGCGTGAATTTTAAATGTTAACACTGCTCTCCTAAGGAAATTAGTATGTTACGGATAAATATTGCAAACACATATACTGACACGAAAACACAATGGTAACAATATTCAGAGTCTTTTTGGAAATTAGCTTAAATGTTACGGCCACTTAAAAATTCTACATATGACTATTGTTTAAATACATTTTTCATGTCTCTGATGTAGTCCTTATTTGACATAAGTATTTTATTCACTGCTTAATTGTTAGATAGATTATAGACAGCTGTTACTAAGTAATACTGCTCCATTAGGGCAGAAACAGAAACTTTATTTTAATTAAATGTGTACTAATGTTTGAGTTTCTATATTTTGCTACAGTGATAATTCCAGTAAAATAAACTGTAGGCCTCTAGTTGTTTTAGAATTTTAAAACTGTAAATGGACTCAGAGAATCAGTTTCTTATTAGACGTCATGAGAGTATATTTTTTTCATTATGCTTTAAGAGGGAATTTGTAACTTGCTCAGGTAACATTCAAGTTTTCTGGTTTGTGTTTGTCCCTACAATTAAACACACTGAACTAACAGGAAAAGGTTACATACATTTAGGAACAATTGCACTTTTAAAGGGAGAGAATGCATAGTTGCTCACATATCTCAGTGTCAGTCACCTAACATGGATCAGTGCTTTATTTGAGATTACAAAACTAGAAAATGACGGAGTCAAGGCTAGGACCAATATTCTGTTCAGTCTTAGATAATTATAGAATACACATTAAAATCAGATATTTGAATTTTCTTAATTTTGTAACTATTTGTCATTGAAAGGAGATACTAAAAAAATTATATATCGTCCTAGAAAGTACATGAACTAATAATGCATTTCTAAAGGTGAAAAAAGAATAGGTATTTTTCTGTTTAATATTCAATTTTATAGAGAGTAGTACGTTAATTTTTTTAAACCCCAGAAGCTCAGGATCTTATCATTTTAAAAGAAATTATCACCAGTTCTGTGTGAGTAAATAAAGTATTATAACACTTTGTGTTTTTCATCCATGATACCTTGTATTTACTTACCTGAGCTTTTTTTCTAGGGAAAGAAAAATGCTCAGGTAATAACAGAGCCTTGAAAAATTTGGATTTTCAAAACTACCTATTTATGTATAGGCCTTTAGATCATCTGATGTTGAATACTCTTTAAGTGATCTAAAGGCCTACATATAAAAAGGTATTTTTATTAAATTCTGGAATTAAACATTTCAGCATTACAAGAAAAGAAAGCAAATCCACTGGAACAATTCTGGGAAAGAAGGAAAGACTGTGATTAAATGCCTCTTAACTACTTCAGATTCCTGGATTGATGTCTTATCTACAGGCTTCTTTTTAAAAATCAAGAATGATTGGCTGTGAGTTTACCAGGATTATAGTTGAGGCTAAAGGACAGCTCCTCAGGAAAGCCCCTGTTCTACATCTACGGTCACATGCTGGACCTTGAGTTGTCACTCAGAGAAAAGAGTGCCATCTACCGAAACTCCACAGTTTCCATTGTGAATGGCTTCTTTGGTGCAGAGTTCCAAAAATTATGTAGCCCAGCTCTTTAATTTTGTAACATCTAATGATATCACCGCCTTGAAGTGATTAAAGTAGATTGCTTAAAGAATTAAAGCTTTAAAGATGAAAGATGTTATTGCTTTTGCTGGACATGAGGAACAGTTGTAAAGTTTCCAGGTCTACAATAACTTTCTGGAACCCTCTCAGTGAACTGTTTCTTGTAAAAGTTTTCCCTAAGATAAAAGCTCAATCCCATTGTTTCCACACTCAAAAAAAAAAAAAAAAAAAAGATCATATAGTGTAAAAAAAAACTCTCCAGACTTTTCAAAGGGGAAACTTTGCCTGTTTCATGTCAAGATGACAACGGAAAAAATGAGATAGCTATTCTTACATAAATCATTTGTGAACTGCAGTTGGGGGAGTTACATTAACCACCAGAGTTTCAGTCTGTGTCTAATGAAAACACAGCAGAAGTGGATTCCTTTCAGATTAACTAATAAAACCCTTGTTTTTTTCCATGACTGAGGTCAAGCACTGCTGTTTAAAATGTAGTCTTAATGAACAAAATGAAACGTTGAAAGAGGACGAGTCAAAATGCCCAAAAGATGTAAACATCAAAGAGAAAAGATCCAGAAATTATTAAAAGTTAAACTTCCCTTGAATTCTAGTATTAAGAAAGTACTGCTTCAGTAAAATGGCATATATTTTTCTGAAACTGTTTTTCTATAGTATTTTGTGTGGAGGATGACAGAGACTGCATTTCTCAAGTAAATTAAAATCACAGAAATACTCTTTGGAGTTGCATAGCATGTTCACAACGTTCCAGTTTCATTCAGTGAAAACTTCTGATGAACTTAGATGTATATTAACATGAATCATTTAGTAACTATATTTTCTGAAAAACAGTGTGTTAATGAGACATCTTAAACATATTTTTGCATTGGATGCAGAAGTCTTTTCTGTCTGGTACTATTGTTGTTAGAACCCTACTTTTTTGTATATAGCAAAATGTATGCAGGGTTTCTGAGTCACACATTTATTCTGTTGGTGGTCTGGATGTCATCAGGGTAGCTTTAGAGATATAACCCTTCTTCATAAGGTCAAGAGAAAATAAACAGGAGAATTTAACTCCAGATGGCATCTTCCTGTTTTGAGGCCAGATAGAAAAATATTTTGCAAAGAACTGTTGTCCTTCAAAATATACCTATCTAGATTCAGATTTTAACCTTGCAGGGATAAAAAATCATATGGGACAGAGCTTTGGAGTTGGCTTCTTTAATCGTACTCAGTTTTGAAATAGCAGAAAGAAAATAGAATGCAGTAATTAAGAGTATCAAATTTAGAGAAAGCCTTCTTACACTCAGATCTTCTTTTTCACCCTGACTGTGTAACCTTGGGAAAATTACTTAATGTTTCTGCAGTTAAGATTCCTCATCTGTAAAATTAGGATTATGACAGCTGTAAGCTCATAAGGCCTTTGGGAGTATGAAGCAAAATAGATATTCAAACTACTCAGAGCAGTCCCTACAAGATAGGAGGTACTATAGCACTAGTTTTACTAACGCTGGCAAATAAAATTACTCTAAGGAAGAAATTAAAGTACTTAGTAACTTAGTGATAAGGATGGTGAAATGTAAAATTTTATTTATAAGACTATACAATTTAAAGTTGTTTGCCAAATGTAATAAGACAAGTAGAATATATTCTCTTCAATGTTTTTATAATTTGACACTAAGAAGATTTTATTATATATGCAATTGCTGGTGGTTAGATATATGATACTTAAAATTTTCTAATTATCTAATTATTTTTATTTTTAACAGGATAAAATATTAATCAACTTAAAGGACATTTCTAAGGAGATTGAATTCTAAAAGATTAATCTTTTAGACAATTCTAAAAGATTAATCTTTTAGACAATTCTAAAAGATTAATCTTTTAGACAATTCTAAAAGATTAATCTTTTAGACAATTCTAAAAGATTAATTGAATTCTAAAAGATTAATCAACTTAAAGGACATTTCTAAGGAGATTGAAAAAGCATATATCTATAAAATATGAAACAAGAAAATATCTACAAATGATAATTTATCAACTTTTTTTCCTGGAGGTAGCAAGAATAAATAAAATCTTATTTTCTATGCAAAACAGTGCTTTTAAATTAAAATTATTCACCTAGAATGTCTACAGATACTTTCTTCAGAGTCCTTTTTGTTAAGTAATCTAACATATTTTAAGATACTCTGATAAATACATAAGCAGCAGAAAAAATATTTTATTAAAATTTATGTTTTCCAAACAATATCATTTAAAAGGCAAACCAAACATTATTTCAATTGGAAACTATATGAATGCCAAATACCCACATGTACAAAATATTCAGCTTTCTAAAGTAATGAAAATAATTATGATAATTTATATATCATATCTGTGATTCTTAGATTTTCAGATTATACAACATCTTTTCCCAGATAAGGATTTAGTAAGAAGAGAAAAGGAAAAAACATTCACTTTTCATTCAAGCCAAATTAATTAATTTAATTAGGTGCTTTAGGGAATAATATTATTGCTCCAAAAATAGTATTAAGACAAACATAACATTCATTTTTTGTCCAAACAATATGATTTCTTCAAGTCAGCATGATTTAACATGAAGAATGGAAACAAAAAAATCACAAAATAGTAAGCTTTATGCACATCTAAAAATATAAAATTATGTTATTTGGCTTTATTTTTCTCTAAAATTCCAAAATAGAAAACTAGGAAAGAAGCAGCTAAGAGTGGTTTAAGACATGTGTTAGCTTCAATATGTTTTATATTATAGATCCCAGCAAGGAGATGATTGAGTTTAATACATTGCTTGTGTGATCACAAGTAAATTTCTTTCAGAATTGTACTTCGTAGTAAGGAACAGAAACACCAAATGACATGGGAGATGGAATTTAAAATTAATTATAAATTGGAACAGAGAGATTTAGTTTAAACAACTAAAATAATGGAAATAATTGGAAAGTCCATTACTTTTCAATAGTAGAATGAAATTATTTGCCTTTTATTTAATATTTTTGGAAAAAATTAACTTATTTTTTTAACCGAAGCTACTCTGAATGCAGATATCTAAGAAATGAAGAGAATAATATGAGATGACTTACTTCTAAATCCCATTTTCTATTCTATTTCTAAATGTTGCAAATGGCTAACTAGAGCATTTTTATTCCTCTAGAAACAAAACATTCTTTTCCTTGACTTTGCCATGATTTTCGCACATATTACTAGGTATTAAATGAAGGTCCATGAAACATCAATCTAAGAGCTTTAACTTTCAGTAGAATATATTGCTAACTATATTTTGTCATGCATGGAATAATAAAGGAAGCTATACAAAACTATTTTTTTCAGCAAAGGTAACTAAGGTAGAAAAACAGAGAAAGGGCTAATTTTCAGCCACAAGTTTTTACAGGAACTGACTTCTCAGGAGAGCCAAATTTATTTCAAGTGGATGTGAAATAAGTTATGGCAATAAATAAAGTTGCATTAATTCTTATTTTTTAAACATTCCAACTCTCTTTTTTTTACTTAAAACAATATGACTTTCTAAAGTAAAACAAAACATACATGCACCATGTTGACTGTCATGTGCAGGTGAGAAGAGAAAAATATTTTAAGAATATGATAATTTTTAAAATTGCACTAAAATAATCTTTATATTGAGGCCTCCGTGTTTTAAAAAGTACTATAATATGTTTCTAATAAAATTTAGAAACAATAAGCTAAATAACAACGTTAATACTTATAACATTGCATTTGACCCAATTTTAACAAACTCATTTACAATTTTAATAAGTCAATATTGTGCTCATTTATTTAATAATTAGCAGAACAAATGGAAAGTACTGTATTTCTAATGATGTGAGGACACCCTTAATGAGACATAAACATAGGAGGATGAATACACAGGAGGGAAAAGTATTTATGTTAATTTCTAGGCAGATCAAGAACATATAGAAGATACTTAAAATAGGAAATGTTTGAGCCTAGCTTTAACTATTATCTTCATTTGTCTTTAATATGCCTTTAGTATTCAATGGCTGTTTTTCATAATCCACGTGCTGTATTAAGTGTGAAAAGATATGCCTGATCCAGAGGCAATGAGCTAAAAGAATCATCTGTACAATCTAACAATGCTTTTGAGGATGGATCTGGAGGGCTTAAAATACACATTATTAATGGGAAAATCTTGGGCTGAAACTAATCTGTAGGAATATTTCATATAAAGTTGATTTGGAGAAAATTTTTAAGTGGTTCATTTTGAGAAAAGGAACCAATGTAATTACAGTGTTCCATGTAATTTTACTGCACAATCTTCCAAACCCAAATTTTCGGACCTTTTCTGCAGACTGGTGAACTTAGTACTTAAATATGAAACGCCAGTTCTGTCTAGAGAACAAAATGAGTTTAATGCATAGACTCACCTGTTATTACTCTTCACACCAATGTGTAAATGACTGTTTGCTCTTCTATTAAATATATTTTCCGTAACACCATTCAAATAGGCCTACTTCATTTCCACTGAGATAAGCATTTTGGTATTCAGCTTTTATATTCACTAAGAATTAAGAAATGCTGTTTTAAAAGCTTAGGAAATGTATATAGAAAATATATCCCATGTTCTCATATATGTGTTTCAGACATAGGGGAGGAATTAGAATAAATTTTCTAAATAAACAAATTATTTGCCTACTTAAAATTGCAATTAAAAAATGAAGCTTTCCTTCGTTAGCTGTAAACTACATTGAGAAATTGTAACATAAAAAAGAATGGATTTTTAAAACTTCTTGAGTAGATCAAGTGTCTTGTACAATATCATTAAATTTGTATCAGAACACATAAATGGAAATGAGGTGGGGAAGCAATTGCAGTACTTTCTAGAGTCTAGGTTTTGAAATTCTTTTTGGTGAACATTTACTAAATCAGCTAAACATTTCAACTCATTTAAACACAAACCTAAATTATTATTACCCTAGACAGAGAGATGATATAGCAACGGGACCTCGAAAAGGTGATCTTTTGTGGCTGCATGTAGTGCCCAGATGGAAAAATCTTAGGACCACTAAAAGGCCTCTTGACCACTAGGCGGCAAAAACTAATTTTGAACTACTTGCCTACTCGGTAGCAGGCCTCTTTCAATAGACATTTTAAATATCTTGGCTTTGAGAAAATAAAAATTTCACCATCTCACAAAAATATAAATTACTGAACAGTACATCATTTGTTGTTTGCAAAAATTTTTGCAGATGCTTAGAAACTTATTATTTATTTACTCAATTACTGGCAAACTATCATACTAATTGTCAAGAACTAAAGTTGTATTTAACCACAATACACAGCTAATGCCTTAAGAATTGAGACCAGGTTTTGTTTTGGCAATTCCTAAGCTGATTCATAGTTAATAGCTGCTGAAATTTCAGTACCTTGTATATAATTATGAAGCAAGTCTAAAATTTTGGTTGAAGCAATTTTTTTTACCATTTTAAGCCACAAATACAGATGGTTATGATTCATATTTTCCCTATTATTTTTACTTATTCCTTGCCAATGTTTATTTTAAAAACATCTTTTTCTTTTCTTTTTGGTGATTTGGAAATGTCTTTACATCCATATGGGATATACAATATATTATGTCATATCATGTTGAGCTACTAATGCCAAATAGAGCTAACAGTGACATTCAATACACATAATAAGTTCTGTTAAAACTTTCCCAGGAAAATCTGGTAGAGTTTTATGCTGCCAAGATTAGCTCAGTTTTCCCCTGAATTTCTCAACTAGGTTGATAAAATCCAGAAAGTCTTCAGAGTTAGTGACAAAATCATCTCTTTAGTTTAATGCTCCCATCTGCTGTTAAGGCAAAGAATAGCAATTGGGTAGAAGAGCTTATTTTCAATGTTCCTTTAATAAATAAATGTTTAAATGCTTGTGTGATATACATTGATGTTAATTCTTACTATAAATGAAATTAAAATATCTGCTGGTCTTAAGGAAAATTGACTATGGTGTGCCAATTTTATGTTAACAAGCAGATATGATATTTTAATTAATTTCTTGCTACTTAGCAAATTACATAGGGCAAGTATAATTTTCTAATGAAAGGAAGAAATTATTTGTTTCAAACCTTTTCAACTTTGGCTATTGTTAATAGTCCTAACAGAGTAACAAAAATCACCTTTCAGCAAAACCTAAGGAAACTTCACGTCATCTAACTTGTTTTTCAGCTGTTGAAGGAGGATGTTCCCATCTTGGTCAGTCCTATGCGGATAGAGATGTCTGGAAGCCAGAACCATGCCAAATATGTGTCTGTGACTCAGGATCCGTTCTCTGCGATGACATAATATGTGACGATCAAGAATTAGACTGCCCCAACCCAGAAATTCCATTTGGAGAATGTTGTGCAGTTTGCCCACAGCCTCCAACTGCTGTGAGTTTAAAGATAAACTGTACATCTTCAATATTCATATTTAGACACATGAATAGCTCCTATATCATAGGAGCCTAAAAGGGAATGAAAGTCATGTTCATCAAATAGCCATGTTTGTATTACGAGTAAAAAGTGACCGTTTCAATTTAAAGATAAGGATTGGTTAGAATCTGGGTTACTAAATAATATGCAAATTCTGTGTCTTGTTTAACTTGTTTCTTTTCCATTTATTAGCCTACTCGCCCTCCTAATGGTCAAGGACCTCAAGGCCCCAAGGGAGATCCAGTAAGTAAACATTCTTCAGTAGAATAAAATTAATACTAATGATAATTCTAGTAAGAGTTTGCTTTTTCTAGATTTGAGCTTTCATCATACATTCTCTTCATTACCACATATTTGAATAATGGCACCAAACAACAGACTGAGAATCCATAATTGTACGTGTAAAGATTTCAATTTCCCAAACTTCATATTATGTCTTCACCCCCATGATCAGTTTAAAGAAAATGTGTAGGTCAATATACAAAGGAATACATTATACTTAAATTATTCACAAGATTTTGATTAAAAAGTATGTGTTATAAAGAAAATATATTACTTATATTGTTTCCTAATATTATAAAGTAGAGAAACAACAATCTGATAATGATTGTGAATCACCAGGATTTTTCACTATTTAATTTATTTTTATCTCTTTTTTAGGGCCCTCCTGGTATTCCTGGGAGAAATGGTGACCCTGGTATTCCAGGACAACCAGGGTCCCCTGGTTCTCCTGGCCCCCCTGGAATCTGTGAATCATGCCCTACTGGTCCTCAGGTATAACAATTACGGTACTTAAAAAATTCCCTCATAAAACTATCTAGTTCATCTTCTTTCTTTACTCGATATTACGTCTCACTATTATGAGTTCTTTGTATCTGTTCTCTGATTCAGTGTATTTAATAAATCCTTATTTAGTGCTTCTATGTATTAGGCACTATTCTAAGTACTTTATAAGTATTCATTTTTCCTCATAATGCTAATGTCATTGCTACTATATCCTTGGAAAATTTGCTAATTTCTCAGCAGATATATAGCATACACATTATGTTTAAGAAGTGAACTATGAACTTAACAAAAAAAATTAACCTAAATAATTTAGTTAGTACTGTATCCATACTTTATTCTCCTACTAATACCAATGTCAAAGCCTCTAAAAGTTTAGACAAAAAGAAGTTGAAGAACTGTTAGTATTCCTATTGAACAGGATTATTTCTGCCTATGAAACTGCTCTTGCTAATACTTCAGAGCACACCTTGCTTCTCCTGAAGCATGGCAGCCAAATAAATCTGCAGGTAAAACAACCAAACAAATAAATATGACAAAATTTCTGTTGCATGGAATTAGGTGAAACGAGAAAATATATTACACAAATTTTTGTGAGGTTAAAAAGTGCATTTCAAAAAGCAATTCAACAAGAACCAAAGTATATTGTCTAAGTTATTCTTATTCTAGTAACCAAACAGAACCTAACTCTAGACCTGGAACTTAGAATTTAAAAAAAGCTTCAAAGAAATCTAATAAGCATATGAGCCTTTCTACTATTTTTTGGTTTATTTTCTATGGAGATGTTTATTTTTGAGTGAATCTTTTAGTCATATTAACCAGAATCCAGGGGATATGAATTTTACTTGTATCATTAAGTGTTTGAAAAATAATTTGACTTCATTTTTTTGCTCAAAATGAGAAGGTGTATTATATGATCTCGAGACTCTTTTGGCCTCAAACAGCCTATGATCCTATGTTTGTAATGATGTAGCTACTGCTTAGAAATAATAGCTTAAGTAAGCGCATAATAGGAAAAATTGGGGGGAACTAACATTGAACACAGTGGAAAGATTTGTGCATCCCACAAGAAAATGCTTCTGTAGGATATCTAACGTCTAAATCTACAGAAAGACACGATAAACAAGATAATTAGTGAATACATACCACATCTTTTGGCACACAAAAACCTATCAGTAGACAGTAGATGTTGCATGCACTTCTAAATGCTTTTTAAAAGAATTATGAACTGTCTGTTAAAATGATCATATCTATTTGTCTCCTTGCCACAGAACTATTCTCCCCAGTATGATTCATATGATGTCAAGTCTGGAGTAGCAGTAGGAGGACTCGCAGGCTATCCTGGACCAGCTGTACGTACAAATGTTTCTCAGCATTTTGGAGCTTTATTATCTTTCTGGTTTGTAAAATCTTGAATGGTTGCTCTTCTAGGAATTCAGTATTTTTATGGAATTGTACAAAATAGCTTACCCCTACTAAGGTTGGAAAAGAAAATGGTAGCATTATCATGTTCTTTCTATCTTATTCATATTATTAAACCTATTTTTAATCACATATAAATTTTTACTAAAAAAAAAAACCAAAGTCAACACTTATTAACATCTCAGAAAAGTGTTTATAAGAGAAAATGGAAATATACAAACTATTGTTTTATAAATTTACTATCAGTATTTAGAAACAGCATGTTACAAAACTGAAGCATACTGTTTTCAGCTTGCTGAAGGTTTTCTAGTTTAATCTGTATTTCTGAACAATGATAAATCAATTGTCCTATGTATGATGATTCTTGCATGATCATATAAATCTCTATGTCAATTAACTCTGTGATAGATATATCAACATAATTATGGGACTTTTGGGTTGATTTACATTATTATTTTAGATACTTGATTATAGGATTTCTAGTGTGCCAATAAATGTTTTTCTGCACTGAGTTTGGCTGCCAAGCGAGAAATTGCTTCTTCACCAGTGCAATATAACCCTAACATTGCAGGGATTTTCATAGCATTATGTACTAGTTTTTCCAGATTTTTAATTCCCTTCCTTAAGAGTTCAGGACAACATTTTATAACATTTATTAATAATTTATATAGAATCTGTGAGAATTTCATTACAGTAATGTTTGCTTGCTAAGATCTTCATTATAGATCTCATGAATAGTTATCAAAAAGTTATCAAAAGATGAGATATAGTTGTTCATAGTTTTAACAATGCGAGTGTCATTGCTTTGAAGCATGGATAAAGTGTATTTTGCATTCATTTATTTTGTTTTTCATTCAAATTCACATTCCAGGGCCCCCCAGGCCCTCCCGGTCCCCCTGGTACATCTGGTCATCCTGGTTCCCCTGTAAGTATAGCCATTGGTGGTGTTTTCTTCCTCATTTTTAGAAAAATCAAATTAATATATATTCTGCTATAATTCAGCCATTCCAGCATGCATAATCCCAGTTAACTAGAGAAATCATAACCAAGAAACTGATTAAGGCTTCAAAGATGGAATTCCATATTTAATTCCTTTCCACCAACAGTTATTAGCAATTGAAATCTTGGTAAAATTAAACCACATTAATTTGCATGTAATATGACTTTTAGTTCAAAACCATTCAGTTTTGATGGATTGCAATGAATGGAATGAAATACATTAACTTCATTCTGATCTAAAAATAATTTGGTCTCAATATTTATAAACTGGAGTAAAATTTGCTGATTACATTCACAATCCTGATTTCTTACTGTCAAGATGTAAATGAATTATATGAAGATTTTGTTACTTTAAAATTATTTACATATTCTACTCACTAGGGATCTCCAGGATACCAAGGACCCCCTGGTGAACCTGGGCAAGCTGGTCCTTCAGTAAGTAACAATTAAATTTATATTTAGTAAGTCGATAATTCCATATGGAACCTACCTTTGTTTTCTAAAACAAGTATAGGTCTTTACAGAATGAAGATTAAATTTACCCTTAAGTTTGTAAATAACGAATAGCATTTTATTGAGTCTTTTGGACTCTTTCAATTGTTAGCTATCTTAGAGACACTAGTTAATAAAGGAATTCCCTCATCATTAGCCATCAAAATAGTCCACTTCCCAGAGCTGATAAAAATTCTGTATATATTAAATATAGATTTCATTTTTCTGTAAACACTCAGTTCACTCATATCTAATCTACTGATAAATATAGTTATATATTTACATATGTAAATATACATATACATATATCTTAGACAGTAGAAATAAACATAATCTTAGAGAGTCCTTTAGAAGGATATGCTCTGTAAATAAGCAAGTAAAATAGTTTAAATACAACATTTCATGACATTTAGAAATACCTTTATATTTAGATATATTTAATATTCCTAAACGTGTAGAAATGCATTTGGATTTATAAATACACATACGTAATATATGATGCTTTTAATTTTTATTAACAGTAAGTTGATATAATAGAGGTATAATATTAACTCAGTAAGTATCATTTTCATTATCAGAAACATTAAAAGTATTTTCTAAAAGGAGGTTCCTTCCAGGAATACATACACTGTGTAATAATAAATTGTAACAGAAAAATTTACAAATCTATTCATTTTTTATTTCCTTATTTTCAGGGCCCTCCAGGACCTCCTGGTGCTATAGGTCCATCTGGTCCTGCTGGAAAAGATGTAAGTTTTTAAAACTTAAATAAGAATACAGCAAAATTTAACTTGGTGTATTCTAAACAGTATATGCTTTATGTCAGAATCCCAGAAGAAAAAAAAATGTTATTCAAAATATTGTTGTCTTAACAACATTTTAGTTAATACTAATTTTTGAGTAGCTATACAGTATTTGCGTTTCTATATATATCATTTGTTGAATTCCAAAATAAAATCCTTAAAGTGCTTTTTGACTGCGGAGAAGACTCATCCATTGAATATATTATTTAACTGGAGGAGAAATAGGTGTCTCTGCCTGCCTCTTTTAATGATGAAATTGATACCACTATTTAATGAACTTGAGAAGTTATAGATACCTTCAATTCAATGGCATTCCTTCTTTCCCTCTTAATCTCCAATGGCAAATTCTTTTCACTGGCTTATGTTATTTCAGTGATTAGAAGCACCTGCATTATCTCTTTATAAGCTTATATCAAAGTGGGAAAGGTCTTCCTCATGCCTTCTACCAAGAAAGCTGATCTCAACTATACATTTTGTGGAACCATTTTAATGAGTCCTTTGTGAGAAAAATGCAAAGTAACCATTTTGCTTATTGGCTACAATGTATTTTCTCATACATGAGCACCTACGTATTCTTTATTTCTCTACCTAGGGAGAATCAGGTAGACCCGGACGACCTGGAGAGCGAGGATTGCCTGGACCTCCAGTGAGTCTTCAGCATCTAATAAATTAATTGGAATAATCTTAGCTTGAAAACTATTATGTAATTCAATGGAATTAAACTTAAAAACAGAAAGTGTTTTACTACTAGATTGTGATTCTATTTGAAGGTTCATTAATATTTTTTCATTCATTATTTTTAGGGTATCAAAGGTCCAGCTGGGATACCTGGATTCCCTGGTATGAAAGGACACAGAGTAAGTAGAGTTTCTAAGTTGTTTACAAGGTATTCCACTGGGCTATGTTTACTTGCCTAACCAATTTTACTGGACAATTATGTGCCAAAAAATATGATTCTGACAATTAATTAATTTGATATTTTTAAGTCTACTAAGTTTGTTTGTTGACCAAACTAGTCATTTTTTGCAAAATAAAGGAGTTGATTTCTAGTGTATAAAGTACTCTTGAAAAATATCGTTTTCTTACTACCACTATCAGAAAAATAAAAACATTTTGTGAATTATGTTTTTTATTGACTTAATATGATTTATAGATTGAGTTGAACAACTTTATTCTATGCAAAATATTTCGTACATTCAACCAACTGTGCCTACAACCTATCAACTGAATTATAATAAAATCTATGAAACTCATGTTTGCTACTCTATAGTTAAGGCAACTTTCTTATCAGACTAAATTGCACTTTCTAGTTTTCATGTTTTCCTGTTGTAAAATCAGTATGAAATATCTTCAACCCCTTTAAACAAGTTTTAAATTATTTAAGCTAATTTTGCAAGTAGTGTTATGAAGACCAATTAGAAAAATACCATGTAAACTTTATCAATCATTCTAGATTATTAACAGATTTTAATAATTTTGCTGGTTTTATACATTTCCTAGGGCTTCGATGGACGAAATGGAGAAAAGGGTGAAACAGGTGCTCCTGGATTAAAGGTAAATCACAACAAAAATCATATTTTCATAAGTAAATTCATTAAATATTAAAGCTACATATAAGATTCATATTGTGAGCCTTAACTTGTTTTCTGAAATTTACCTGAATTTTACCTATTAGGTGTGAATAATGGTAACCAATTCAGATATTCTATTAACGCTTCCATGAAAAATGACAACTTGAAGAGTCTAGATTAGAAATAGTTGAGCATCTTAGTATAACTTATCAATTACTTCACTTTAGTCTTTAAGTTTTTAAATACAGAAATTGAGATTTCTGGTAAATAAAATACTAACAGAAAATTAATATTGTTAAAATGTATATCTTTTTCTAGGCTCTATAAACTTTTCCATAATATTCTGTATTTAAAAATATATAATATTTTCTTCCTCTTTTGTAAAATAGTAACATATTTTATATGTATCTAGGGTGAAAATGGTCTTCCAGGCGAAAATGGAGCTCCTGGACCCATGGTAATTATGTTTCTTATGTATAATTTTCAGTTTTATTATTAACCTCATTGTTACCTAAAACTGGCTTTGCTCCCACCCCAACTGTTCTTACACATGTCAAGATTAGAGTAAAACCATATTTCAATTTTACTCTGTAGGGTCCAAGAGGGGCTCCTGGTGAGCGAGGACGGCCAGGACTTCCTGGGGCTGCAGTGAGTATAGCTGCTAACATCACACAATTACAACCCAAAGTGACAGATTTTTACAGCCTCAGTAAAGTTTCAGGCTGTAAAAATATGTTAGGAAAAAGACCTTCCTACAAAATTATACTCAATGATACTGTGATAAAGTTTTGGCTATAGTTAAAAGGAAATGAATAATTGTTTTACAATTATTATCTCTATTGAGAATTTTTGTGTTAACTTTTCATATGTCATTTGAGCCATTATATCTGCATTCAGTCCTGAAAACACAGACTCCAATCCTTCTACATTTGATTGTTGCTGTATATATCAGAATTGTAATAATTGACTTTAAAATACATAATTATTAAGCAGATTTTAATGTACTTGAAGAAAACTCAACTCACTTGAGTCAGAATTTTGGTCAAAATATTACTCATGACCAGCCATTCAGAATTAAAAGGATATTTGATGTAAACTTCTCTTTTTAGGGTGCTCGGGGTAATGACGGTGCTCGAGGCAGTGATGGTCAACCAGTAAGTAACTTTCTATCTCTTATGTGTTGTAGGGTAATGAGAAGTTATGGATTGTGGATTATTTAATATTTTATATATGTATATACTCTTAGGTATATATATATGCATATGTATATCTCTAATATACACATTAGCATCTCTGTTGACCATTTTTACAATTTAAAAAGTGAAAAAATATTGTAGCCCCAATACTTAATATTGTATATACACTCCTGTGATTAAAACTGACACTGAGCCCATAAACAAAATCTAGGTTCTGACACTCATTCTGCTTGATCAACTGCTAACATTTGAATGGTGCTCCCAATGTTAGTTAATATCCTATGTAAGACATGGCACTTTAAAGAGTCCTACAAAATGGATAAAATAGATGTTACCTCCATTTTGTAGACTGGAGTACAAAAGCCCAGGGAAAAGTAGCCTGCACTAAGTCACAGAATTCATGGCAAAGTAGGGAGAAACCAAGAATTTCTAACTTTAGATTTCACTCTTTTCTTATTTTACCACATTGTTTCTCTACATAATATCCATAAAATATGAATATCATTTTTATCTGCATAAATATCTTCTTTACTTTATATGTGCTCACTTATTTACTAGTATGTCAGCTTTCATTTAGTTGAAAAAGAGCTCTTGAAATTGTATTTAATTTTTTCAGGGCCCTCCTGGTCCTCCTGGAACTGCCGGATTCCCTGGATCCCCTGGTGCTAAGGTAAACATGTGTTTCTATAGAAGGGTATAAAAATATCTTGGAGGCAAGAGAAAAGCATTAGATTGCTTCTTGCAACTGATTTTTTTAATCAGTCAAATGGATAGCTTTTATCTATACATGTCTTTAAAGCCCTATTCTTGATTCTAAAAGAGGTGTTGTCCCTAGTATTCAACTATCTTGATATTTCTTCTGCTACCTTCTTTTTTTCCCCAGACTCTTTCTAGGAAACTGATAATGCAATCACACACACATAGTTACATTTTTCTCTGCCTTTACGATTAATGATTCCTTGCTTTACCTGCAGTATAGAGTCCCACTACTCCAACTTTTGGGAGATGTGTTTAAACAGGACTGAAGGGTGAAGTGGCTAAGTGAGTAGAAGTGGTAAGAGAAACTGACTACACAAGGTTTTACCATTAGGGTGAAGTTGGACCTGCAGGGTCTCCTGGTTCAAATGGTGCCCCTGGACAAAGAGGAGAACCTGGACCTCAGGGACACGCTGGTGCTCAAGGTCCTCCTGTAAGTATCATAGTTGAGAGGGAGTAAGCATAGTTTCATGCTTACTCCATGAAAGCATAGTTTCATGCTTACTCCATGAAAGCATGTGCTTCAATATGGCTATCAGTGAAAATTACTTTGAAAAAATTGTTGCTTAGTGCTCTAAAATGATCCTCCTGTGACACATACTGATTTGATTAGTAGTAAAAATGATAGTTTTTGACTGTTGCACTATTCCAGAATTCATGATTTTTTATGTTTATATAAAAGAATAGAGGATAGACTAGTTTTCTGATGCTTTCAAGAATGTGCCCCAAGCTAATCACCAATCATAAAAATTCAGAGAAGAACCAAATTCAAAATCTCTTCTATTTATGTATCATTTAATAATTTATACGAAGTACATATTATCTCTAATTTATTTAGATAATGATGATTCTTTTGACCACATTTCATATGTTGTGTTATAGTTGGAGGATTCACTTAATCTCTACAAAGCATAACACTCATCGATACATTTATTTTCACACAAACAACTTCAAATATATACGAACTATTTGCATTACTATTAATACATTATCTGTTTTTTGTATACTTAGGGCCCTCCTGGGATTAATGGTAGTCCTGGTGGTAAAGGCGAAATGGTAAGCTGTCCCCACTCCTCAGCCTTATCTCATCCACACATTACTGGCTTCTTTTGCATTTTGCATGACAATAGATTTGTGATATTTAAGTGAGATATTCATAAAAGAACATTCAAGTTCGGCTAATATAGTGTCTTTGGTTTGTTCTTAGGGTCCCGCTGGCATTCCTGGAGCTCCTGGACTGATGGGAGCCCGGGGTCCTCCAGGACCAGCCGGTGCTAATGGTGCTCCTGGACTGCGAGGTGGTGCAGTAAGTTGCCTTGTTTTTTCTCTGTTGACTGAAAGGTATAGTTTAATTCCATCAACAAAAAATTAATAGCAAAATTTTGCTCCTGTTCAGTTGAATTTATATTGACTTCACTCTTGTCTTATAACTTATAACTGAATTATGTGTTACTGGTGATGATTTGTTAGTCGAATCCTCCCTGTGTTTCAACCAAGACTTTGTTATACTTTAGGGTGAGCCTGGTAAGAATGGTGCCAAAGGAGAGCCCGGACCACGTGGTGAACGCGTAAGTTTTACTGCAACAGATCTGGTTATTTCTTGAAAAAATGCAACATAATTAGAAAGTAAACAGGTAAAAACTTTGAACTAAATTCAGTCATAATTTCTTTATTTTACCATCTTTTTTTTTTTTCAGGGTGAGGCTGGTATTCCAGGTGTTCCAGGAGCTAAAGGCGAAGATGGCAAGGATGGATCACCTGGAGAACCTGGTGCAAATGGGCTTCCAGGAGCTGCAGGAGAAAGGGTACGTTTTCCATGGGGCATCTAAAAGAAAAGCAGCATCACTGTCATCTAAATAAAACTACCTTCAGGGTGAGACAGCCAATTTTTCTTAAGTTGAGTGTTCAGTGAAAATATTGTTTAAAGCATTCTATGACATAAAAATATTTGCCACTCAAGAATTATGAAAAAGAATTGAAATCCTTTGGACTGAAATACTTGTCTTTCATTATTTTCAGGGTGCCCCTGGGTTCCGAGGACCTGCTGGACCAAATGGCATCCCAGGAGAAAAGGTAGATAACTTTAGTTTCTATGTTCCTAAATGCTAGCACCACAAATGGGCAGTTCTTGTATACAATTTCTCATTCATGAAAACCTAAATATCTGAAGAATATATATTAGAGTTAAGAAAAATTCCTAATATAATGCATCCTCTGTTCAACAACTTTCCTGGCTTTGTAACTAAAGCCACTTACTTACCCTCTATGAGAATCCTTTACTTATCTGTTAATTGGAAAGCATTTATCTGAGCATCGTTGCAAGAGTACAGTAAACTAAAATGCCTGAAAAGTCTTTGAAAACTCTAAGGTTACATCAAATATGATTTCATAGCATTAAGATATTTGATTTTAGCTGCACATAATTATATTTTTAAGCACAGTGAATACTGTTTTATTAAGCATGTGATGTTCACAAAGTTGCTTTAAAATTTTTTCAATATGGCAATCCAAGCTAAGATAACTGATTTTATGTATAAATGTTTCAGCAACACACGAACCCTTTTTAAAAGTTCAAATGACGTCCTCTCTTTGTAACCAAAATATTGTTGCTATCTAGGTTAGTGAAGGCTATTTTAATTTTTTTAAAATTTCTTTCACTACTTAGGGTCCTGCTGGAGAGCGTGGTGCTCCAGGCCCTGCAGGGCCCAGAGGAGCTGCTGGAGAACCTGGCAGAGATGGCGTCCCTGGAGGTCCAGGAATGAGGGTACAGAGAAACATTTGTTTGAATGACACTTTAATTTAGACAGAAGAAAGGCAAGACAAATGAAGACAGATCAAAAGCAACTTAAATCAATCAGATTACATATTTTGTAAGGCACCAAACAAAACAAAATTCTTTTAAGTAAACTTAAGCCGAGATAGTTCAAGGAGAAGAGAAGATAGAACACTTGCCTTAGATACTTTATAGACAGGAAAAAAGATGTGCAAATCTGAGGCTTCACATGTAAGTGAAAATATCAAAATCATACAAATAGTGTATGTAGTAATTTTTTATTATTTCATTTTAAATCACCTAACAACTGACTTCTTTACTTCAGGGCATGCCCGGAAGTCCAGGAGGACCAGGAAGTGATGGGAAACCAGGGCCTCCCGTATGTACATTTTTAAAATCTCATTTTAAAAGGCCAGTTAAAATGGAATGTATATGTTGGCCTATCCTTGAGTGTGTGTGTGTGTGTGTGTGTATATATATATATGTATATGTATATCTATATATATACACACACACACACACACACACATACTATATATATAGCATGCTTTAATCTTCTCTTTATCAAACCTTTATTAATGTAATTTTTTCTTATTAGGGAAGTCAAGGAGAAAGTGGTCGACCAGGTCCTCCTGGGCCATCTGGTCCCCGAGGTCAGCCTGGTGTCATGGGCTTCCCCGGTCCTAAAGGAAATGATGTGAGTTCCTTCATTAATTTCTTCAATAAATATTTGACTGGAAGGCTTTTATTTTCCATATGGAGTAAAGAAATGGTCAAAACTCAGTCTCCTCTTCAAAGCATGGAGGAGTATATGAAAATCAAATTGCATGTAGGAAGGGAGCTAAATATATAATTGGTTATGGTTGTATGTGTGTGTATGGAGCAGGCAGATAAAAAATATGAAACAGGCTGGGTGCGCTGGCTCACGCCTGTAATCCCAGCACTCTGGGAGGCCAAGGCAGGCAGATCACCTGAGGTCAGGAGTTCTAGGCCAGCCTTGCCAACATGGTGAAACCCTGTCTCCACTAAAAATACAAAAATTAGCCAGGCATGGTGGCATGTGCCTGTAATCCTAGCTACCCAGGAGGCTGAGGCAAGAGAATCACTAGAACCCGGGGGGCAGAGGCTACAGTGAGCCAAGATTGCGCCACTGCACTCCAGCCTGGGCGACAGAGCAAGACTCAGTCTCAAAAATATGTATGTGTGTGTGTGTATATATATATATGAGACATATATATATGAGACATATATATATGAGACATATATATATGAGACATATATATATGAGACATATATATATGAGACAATAATATGATTAGTTATTGCCCTTTGAGGATTAGTAAATACCGACCACTTCTTCTTTAGGGTGCTCCTGGTAAGAATGGAGAACGAGGTGGCCCTGGAGGACCTGGCCCTCAGGTACGTAGCTTTCCTCAATTTATTTCTAGCCTTCTAATAGATGCGTTCATCTCCAACCTTCTGACTTCTCTCTGTAATCTGTATTATTTCTACTTCCCTAACTGTTCTTGTTTTTAGGGTCCTCCTGGAAAGAATGGTGAAACTGGACCTCAGGGACCCCCAGGGCCTACTGTAAGTTCACTCATATAAAATTGGAGATGAAAATAGGGTGGAGGTGGGGCAGGAAGAATGCTTCAAAAATTACATAATCTCTGACACCATGTTGTTACAGTTTACCAAAGCAATGATGAAACTTGCTGACCTAGTTATCTAGCTAAATGCTAGCATTGAGTTTAGAGTGTACATGTGTGCTTTGGGTCCAGGTCCTCCCTTTTCTTCACATCACTACTTTTATAATTAAGCAACAGGCCTGTTGAAATGGATACTGTAGACTAAATATAAAAGGATGTTTACAACAGAGTGTATCATTATACTTTTCTAGGGGCCTGGTGGTGACAAAGGAGACACAGGACCCCCTGGTCCACAAGGATTACAAGTAAGAACTTGTTATTTAAATGTCACGGCATATCTGACTGTCAAATTTTTTTGTGTCCCTAATAGATTATAATTTATCTGAAGCTTAACTTGTGATTCTGTCTTTCATCTGGAAATAAAATTTTAGGCAATGTTAATAGGTAGGCATATCTTCCATGTCCGTTCCAGAGCACATTAATAAGTTATTTAAAAGAATTAATGAAACTCAAATAATTCTATTTGGTTACACTTATTTTTATTATAACATAAATCCATATAGCCAAGTCTATCCTGCCATGCTGGTCAATACATTTTTACGTGTAGCAATTGAAAGAACAGAGAGAGATGAAAATGGGTTTGTAAAATATGATTATCACGTATGTGTCACTGGATTTTGAGTGGCACAACGTTTCTACCCCTACAAGACCACTGGAACTTTTTTTTAATATCTTGCAGAAACATGTGTACATATGAGAAGCTTTTCTATAAGCCATGTTTGAGGTAATTACCTAATACAAATATGATTCTTTCTAGGGCTTGCCTGGTACAGGTGGTCCTCCAGGAGAAAATGGAAAACCTGGGGAACCAGTAAGTTACGTTTCATTATTCAAAACTCAGAAACAAAAAGAATACACACTGTTTGTTTGTCAACTATTAACTTCTTAATTTTCTTATGCCATGATATTTGAGATTTAACATTTAGTTTTGAAATATTATCAAAACAAAGACAAATTATTTAAAAGATAACTATTATATAGAGTTTGAATTTTACCATAAAATAGAGAGTTCATAGTTTCAAGATTTGAAAAATTATACAGTATGCCAACATGACAAATGTGTATTTTGCTTATATTTACATATTTGCTTATATTTACATATTTGCTTATATTTACATAAAATGCACTCTGATATGGGCCTAATCATATAATGCCAATCTCCCAGGGTCCAAAGGGTGATGCCGGTGCACCTGGAGCTCCAGGAGGCAAGGTAGTATTTCAATTTATTCTCTACCTTCTTCAGCAGGTTATAGAGCAATTGATTAGTAGTATATTTTTAGTATATCAAGCCAAAATACTCTTTCTTTAAAAGAGCATCATTGCAAATGTTTGGTAAGTACACTTAGAGAAACTCAAGACACTTTCAATACATTAAATTTGCTTTAATCTGGAAGGTCCAATTCTCTGACATTCATAATCACTACAGAATCAAATACGGGCTTAAAATTTCAAACGGAAAAATATTGCCAATATGTTGATTCTATGTAGGAAAACTGTTTTGGTAAAAAGAACTTTAAAATGTTGCTCTTGTGAATAAAATAATAAGTATTTCAATGACAGCTCACACTTAACCAGACTAAGTATCCAAGTTTTATTTTAGACACTCTTTTAAGCTTCTAGTTCCCACCCAGCTGTTCAACTATTTTTAAGTATACAAATTTCTAGATTGTTCACAATATAATAACCTAGTGGCCTGATTCAAAATGATGCAAGTTAAGGTGCTTTGTTTTTAGCTTTGGGTTGTCTAATATGGTTATTTACATATTTTTGTCACAGGGTGATGCTGGTGCCCCTGGTGAACGTGGACCTCCTGGATTGGCAGGGGCCCCAGGACTTAGAGGTGGAGCTGGTCCCCCTGGTCCCGAAGGAGGAAAGGTAACTCCACAGCATTCCATTCACCTAGGTTTAAAAAATGCATTTGATTTCCTTCTGATCATTTATTATTTCTCACTTATTTTCAGGGTGCTGCTGGTCCTCCTGGGCCACCTGGTGCTGCTGGTACTCCTGGTCTGCAAGGAATGCCTGGAGAAAGAGGAGGTCTTGGAAGTCCTGGTCCAAAGGGTGACAAGGTGTTGACTTGTTTTCTCTTAATTGTTCAATAAATCAGTCATTGTAGGTTTTAAAAAAAGCAACACTCCTGGAAAGTAATCGACTGTATTTTCAAAATTAATGTTATCATTTTATAGTAAGTGAAATTTAAGATGGATTCCTAAAGCAACAATGAATTAGAACACCCAATATATATCCCTACAAATCCTGAGAGTTACTCCTCTTCTTGGCTGATTTTCACTGAAGATACTTTGAATCTGATGACATTGGCTTTTATTTGACAGGGTGAACCAGGCGGTCCAGGTGCTGATGGTGTCCCAGGGAAAGATGGCCCAAGGGTGAGTATTCCCAGTGAGGAGAAGCAGGCCTTATCTATATGTCATATGGGACAGTCCTGCACTTCAACTTTAATTTTTTCCAAAAACTACTCAAGAGAAATTAGATATTTTACCACCTAAAGACCCGAATGACTTGATTTATAATGAAATTTGTGGTCTATATCTATGGCTACTTGATAGATCTACAGTGACTAAAGAATGAAAAAGCCTCAAGAGTACGATAAAGGTCACAAACTAGCATTTGTGAGTCACTAAAATCTGAGATAATCACTGAAATTTAGGATAATCAATGCTGCTCATTAAGAAACTAAAAGTCATCAAAATTCAATATAGTAAGTACTCCTCATTAATAGACTTAATATTTAAAAATTGTATAGTATTTAGCAACAAAAAGGAATGAACAATTGATGCTGTACACACAGCAAATTATACAAACCTCAAGGACAACATACTCAGTGAAGAAAATTCAGTCACCAAGGGATACATACTGCATGATTCCATTCCTACAATATTTGCAAAATAACTTCCTTGTAGAGATGTAGAACAGATTAGTGGTTGCTAGCAGTTAAGAATGAGAAAGAGAGAGATGGATGTGGCTATGGAGACATGACACAAGGGAGTCTTATGGTGATTGCACATTTGAGTATCTTGATTGAGGTGGTAGTCAGGCACATCTACACATGGGATAAAATTCTATAGAGCTACATATACACACACATAAATGAGTGTGTGTATCACTGGTGAAATCTGAACATGCTCTATGGATGGTATCAATGTCAATTTCCTAGTTTTGATATTATATTATAGTTGTGTAAGATGTTAACATTAGGGGACGCTGGGAGAAAAGTGCACAGAATTTCCCTGTATATTCCTTTGCAGCATCCTATGAATCTATAATTCAAACTAAAAGTCAAAAACAAAACAAAAAACATCTCCTAAATATGATTATAATTAAGTCTTTTAATAAATTTATATAATAGTTGCCTTAAAGAAATTCATAAATGCTTCGCTTTTGACAGACTAAGTAGATAAGCCGTCATTCAGGTAAAAAGAGTGCTCAATACTTCAGTTTTGTAATATAAGTAAAACTACTATTTGAAAATTTCAAGTTGAAAAATTTAATATGTACAATGAGACTTTGAGAAAACATTTAAATTATCAAGCAATTGAATAAAGAAATGTACTTTAATTTAAAAAGACATTACTGTAAGATCTTACATGACATCCTATTTATCTTCTACAATGGAGATAAAGATAAATGAATCAATAAACTATTGCTGAATCCTATTTTCTCCCAGAGTTATCCCCAAAGAGGCTTGTGTTTACTGAGCTCTGCAGTATTTACACATTGAGAGAAAAGCATAGCATTCAAGCCATAAAAATTTTTAAAAAGTATGTTATCTAGTTTATTAGGTATCTATGTCTATATACTTTCTGTTTGATTAATGCAAAAAACGATATTTGTATCTTCAAAATTAAAAAATATTTTTATTTCCTCTAGGGTCCTACTGGTCCTATTGGTCCTCCTGGCCCAGCTGGCCAGCCTGGAGATAAGGTAACCCTTAATACTACCTGGATATAAAAAGAAAATGTCTCTCTCTTTTGGATGCAAGACAGTGACATGGCTTCTCTTTTTCCAGGGTGAAGGTGGTGCCCCCGGACTTCCAGGTATAGCTGGACCTCGTGGTAGCCCTGTAAGTGTTAAAGACATTCTCAACATACTTTTTAACCCCATACAGACAGTAGCTACTTATGCTTCCCTTTTTGGCAGTTTTGCCCTCAGTTCCCTGAGCCTCAATTTGGAGATATTATCTTCAAAAACCATATAAGGAACCATATAGCATGCAAGGGAATGTTAAATTTCTTAAATCTAACATTCACAGGAGACCATTTTAAATCAGGATTTCTTTCCTAAATAACTTTGGAAAAAATACATGAATTGCACAAGTAGTACATGTTTGTAATTAGGTATTTCTTAAGCCTATAGAATCTTTGCCTGAGACTCCTTCTAGATTTAAAAGTCTTGACCTTCAGGATTTAAGACTCTGGAAAGATATTTAGTAAATGGTTTTTAAAAATAAATCAGTTAATTTTTCAGTTAAGCTTCTACCATATATTGAAATACATAAATATCTATATATATAAATGTGTTAAATACTTTAAAATTCTCAAACTATTTTTCTTGCAAATAATATCACAGTAGGAGGCAGAAGGAATCAATGGTTCTGGTATTTTCCACTCCTAATTTTATTGAGAAGTGGCAAAGTCTTCAGAAGTTTATTGGCTACTCTGCACATTTCCTGCTTAAAGGAAAGAAAAGATAAGATGATAAGATGACATTTCCTGCCTAAAGGAGATGACGCACACTTCACTGTGACTAAGGAGGATATTTTTCTCTTCAGGGTGAGAGAGGTGAAACTGGCCCTCCAGGACCTGCTGGTTTCCCTGGTGCTCCTGTAAGTGTGAATATTTATACATACATGTCCCATAGCCCAGGATCTCTATCTTGCTGAAAAATTACAAAAGTATAGTCAAGTTTGGTTTCTAGTCTCATTTTAGCTGCTCATTCCCTATAGGATTATTGTACCCCTATTTTGTTTTACTTTACCCCTATTGTCGCTCTTTGAAAGATGGAAATAAAAACACCTGTCCTGCTTTTATGACTGGGTAATGAACTAAAGCAGTATCATGGATTTAAAAGCACTCTGAATTTTTGTAAATTCTTCCATTATAAGATGGTACTAATTAAAATTTTCTCTTAAATCCGGTCTTTCTCAAAAAAATTTACTGGTGCTGATTTTCAAATGTTTAATCCTTAGAGACACTTCCTCCCTCCCTAATGGCAAATAATGCACAGTTTATGCTTTCTTGGTCATGTTCTTTGATCATGAAAATATTTTGATTGGCTTCATTTTGTCATGTCTTCAGAAAGCCTTGTTTTTAAATTTTATTTCAACTCCTTCCATCTGAAGAATTCTATATTCTGAAGAGAAATAATAATAAGCCAATTGTATCATAAAGAGTGTCAGCTGAGAGATTGCTGTTGTTGTTGCATGTAGGGACAGAATGGTGAACCTGGTGGTAAAGGAGAAAGAGGGGCTCCGGGTGAGAAAGGTGAAGGAGGCCCTCCTGGAGTTGCAGGACCCCCTGGAGGTTCTGGACCTGCTGTAAGTTCCTTCCTCTTTCTCTGTCTATCTATCTATCATCTATCTATCTATTGATTATCTGTCTATCTCTCCCTCTCTCTCTCCCTCTCCCCCCTCTGTAAGTCCTAAGTGTTCTAATGGAAAAACATGGAGGTTTATCAGTAATTTAATATTTTATACTGAGATAGCATGTCATAGTGTCAAGAATATAATCTTTATATGAATATAGTCCAAGTATGAATCTCAGCACCAGCAATCTAAAAGTTATTTTAACCTCTTCATAGAGTTCCTGGTTTTCAAAGGCTTAATGCTTTTCCCAAATTTTGATTTTGGTGCTATTCTTACATAATTTCCTTCCATTTCATATAGGGTCCTCCTGGTCCCCAAGGTGTCAAAGGTGAACGTGGCAGTCCTGGTGGACCTGTAAGTATTGATCCTCTTAACTATTATTGAAAAGCATTAATTGATATCAACCTGTATAAAAGCTGCATTTGAGACACTAGTTCCATAAAGAGAATGTAAAAATTGTAATCGCTCATTCATACATGAGTTATATGTAAATTCCAAGGGGAAACACAAACCATAAATGACTTTCAGGTACAATGCAGATCATGCCACACATTATACTTTTTGTTTGTTGTACAGTTATTTGTTCTACTTTTGAAATTCAAAAATATATTACCATTTCACAGGGTGCTGCTGGCTTCCCTGGTGCTCGTGGTCTTCCTGGTCCTCCTGGTAGTAATGTAAGTAATTGTTAAAGTCTTTTCTCATCATACACTTCAGAAAGAGCATTCATGTATGTATAGGATGAGAAACTTACACATTGCTACTTATTTCTCTAGTAAGTCTCAAATAAAATTATTTGAAGTAAGTAAAAAAAGAAAGAAAAAATGCACTTTTTATTATAAATATTCAAATTTCAAACAATTATTTGTAGGGTAACCCAGGACCCCCAGGTCCCAGCGGTTCTCCAGGCAAGGATGGGCCCCCAGGTCCTGCGGGTAACACTGGTGCTCCTGGCAGCCCTGGAGTGTCTGGACCAAAAGGTGATGCTGGCCAACCAGGAGAGAAGGGATCGCCTGGTGCCCAGGGCCCACCAGTAAGTAACTTCATTTTTTTAAATTGATTCTACTATTTTGATTTTTATCACAAATCGATTAGAGAAAAACACTGTCACATAAAGATGAGCTAAGTCTTCATTATCTGTATTAGGGAGCTCCAGGCCCACTTGGGATTGCTGGGATCACTGGAGCACGGGGTCTTGCAGGACCACCAGGCATGCCAGGTCCTAGGGGAAGCCCTGGCCCTCAGGGTGTCAAGGTGAGTATAGTCATTTTCCACTACACTCTTCCTTCCTTTGGTAGCCTTCAGAGATCACTTAACCATATCAAGGATGAAAAGTTTTTCTGTCACTGGAGTAAATTAGCCAGGAGATAATTTTTTTTTATTTTTAGATTTTTAAAAGCATAAATTTTAATAAATGGCTCCAGAACACAAAACAGGGCATATCATAGACAAACCTTGAATATAAACACAAATAAATTAATATGATGAAAACAATATTGCCATCTCAAACACCTCTTTTAGGAAACTTGTGAATATTCTTCAATTTGTTGACTGTCAGTTTTGAAGGGGGAAATAGTGTTAGCTTATAGATCTTGGAAAGTCTTTCATTAATGCTAGTTATCCATCCATTCAAGTCATCTTGCACTCCTGACTCTCTTTCACTAGTATTATATTCCTATAACATTCTAGTGCTTAGCATCTAAAACATTCGTTTGGTAAACAGGATAATAAAATTGCATTTTTATTAGGGCTCGTATTATGGCACTTTAAGTACTTCTTTCAACAAAATGTTATGTAATATTGTCATAAAATTAATATTTCATATTTAAGTGTGTTCAATTGATATGATATTTCTGGTAAGTGTATATTCTTCAGATAGAGACAAATAACCTAATTTTAAGGATCACCATACACCTCTAGTTTCATGATGGCTCATTATTGTTTTTCCCTATACTAATCATGTTTATGTATTCATCTCAGATTACAATGTACAGTATTCTGAATTAGATAATCAATGTAACTATTCAGCCCTTTGCCATCCAGAGTCACTGAGCAAGTTAGAAAATGCAAGAAGCTTGCTCCCCCATATTTTTTCCCATAGCAGGCATAGTTTTAATTTTAAAATTCAATGAAGATTAAATAAAATAAGTTTTTTACCTGAAAATAAAGATATCTGATAACACCATTTTAATTGATTTCTTAAGTTGAAACAAAATGTTTTTCATTCCTTTGTATACAGGGTGAAAGTGGGAAACCAGGAGCTAACGGTCTCAGTGGAGAACGTGGTCCCCCTGGACCCCAGGGTCTTCCTGGTCTGGCTGGTACAGCTGGTGAACCTGGAAGAGATGTGAGTAGCAGTTTTTATTCAACCAGCCAGGTAGAATTTGATAATTTATTTCAGCAAAGGTGAAATTGAGCTTTAATGTCTAAGAGTGTAAATATGGCCACATAGCAAAGTTCTTCTATCTCTAATAACAGAAATTCTTTCATTACAATTTAGGATAGACTTAAAAGCTCTTGTTCATTAGTATTTACCCAATGAATAATCATTTGTGGAGAAAATATTATCTCTAACTAAATTAGGAAAAAAGTTAGTGGGGAGAACCACAATTGACATGTTTTCTGAGTGAAAATATTCTACGGTTATCTATGGTTAGTCTTTTATTATTTTTAAAGAATTTAAAATTAATATTATTTATAATTAACAAATCATAATTGTATACATTTATAAGGTACAATGTGATGTTTTAATATATGTATACAATGTGGAATGATTAAAGCAAACTAATTAAACTGTAGATTTCCACTAACAGTTTAGATCACTATTTCTTAAACTTTTATTTATTAGAGGTCTGTAAAGACTCTTTTTGGATATCATTTTTCTAATCACCTCTCCTCCATGAATACACTAACTATCTGTCTGGACATTGTGACCCTTTGAAGGGCCACACTGCTTTGTAATATCTAAGATTTCTTACCCCCAAGAACCAATTTTAACCCCCTTGAGAATTATATTGCCCTGCTGAGAATGCATGGATGAAATGGCATTTGGAAGGTTTCAAGAAATTTTATTTCCTTTCTCATTTTTTAATCAGGGAAACCCTGGATCAGATGGTCTTCCAGGCCGAGATGGATCTCCTGGTGGCAAGGTATAATAAACACATGTGCAATTGATTTGTGTTATCAAAATAAGTGATCATCATGTTTATTTTGTACCTATGAATTTGTTCACAGGGTGATCGTGGTGAAAATGGCTCTCCTGGTGCCCCTGGCGCTCCTGGTCATCCAGGCCCACCTGGTCCTGTCGGTCCAGCTGGAAAGAGTGGTGACAGAGGAGAAAGTGTGAGTTCCCAAAAGCAGCATCTGTCTTGTTTGTCTATTTCCTTCAATAAAGACATTTGTAGGTAGAAGGTAGAATGTCAGATCTGCCAACCAAAATATCCACTGTCATTTGTTTTACAGTTTTAATGCTAGTTGTTCCTTAGACAAATGTGTGAATAAGTCAATACCAGAAGTACTTGGCAGTAGTCAATAAAGAATTCATTACTGAAACCCGAAATCATATTAATCAGACCAACTATCTATATGCTGGGTAAATGCAAGGCCAAGTTAACAGGGCTCTTGCCCAACTTTTCTGTCTAGATCCCCTGAGAAAGCTATAAACAGGGCTTTAGCACTTTGAAGGCAAAAACAATATTAACTTCCAATAATTGCATGCATACTATAATTCTATTATAATGAAATTATTTACTTTTGAAAACGAAATTGTGTCAACACATAAAACTAGTTCCGTGTATGTCTTCTCAATTGAATGTTTTCATCTTAGGGCCCTGCTGGCCCTGCTGGTGCTCCCGGTCCTGCTGGTTCCCGAGGTGCTCCTGTAAGTTTTGTCATTTTTTGGTTTTATTTTGTTTTGTTCTTTTTTTAACTCATTCTACAGTGTAGGAAATATTTTATTTTCCAGCGTGTTCAGGAAAAAAGAATGAATATATATATATATATATATATATATATATATATATATATATATTTGTTCTATCTATAGATAGATGATAGATAGATAGATAGATAGATAGATAGATAGATAGATAGATAGATAGAACAAATATAAACTTTCCTTTAATGACAATGATATGGAAAGCAGTTCAGGATCTAAAAGTTCTTTGGAGCCAAGGATAGAAACATCAGTTGTTAGGGATCCATGCAATGATCAGTCCAAAATGAAAACAACCACAGAAACAAATCTCATTTCCTATCTGAAGTGTCTGTTGATGGGGGATTTTTTAGCTGATAGAAAGCCATAAAATAGATTTAATTATTATAAATTCTATTTTATTTTTCCAATATGTATGTGTGTATATGACTTCAATTCAAAATATGTTTCTAAAGGGTCCTCAAGGCCCACGTGGTGACAAAGGTGAAACAGGTGAACGTGGAGCTGCTGGCATCAAAGGACATCGAGGATTCCCTGGTAATCCAGGTGCCCCAGGTTCTCCAGTAAGTGCATTCATTTTGTTGGAAAATCCCTTCAATGTATACAAATTTTAGAGATTAAGAGAAGAAAGCTTTCCATCTCTAAAAATATGTACTAGAAGAGATGAGAAATGGATTTGAAGGCTAATTTGAAACAACAATCAGCATGACACAATGGGAAGATTAAAGAAAGAAAAAAAATTTCATCATGATCCCCATGTTTCTTGATCTGATCTTGAATGTACAGTTTCCCAGTGCTTTTTAAGGCCTTCACTCCTATGTACACTTCCTTTCTTTCCAGGGCCCTGCTGGTCAGCAGGGTGCAATCGGCAGTCCAGGACCTGCAGGCCCCAGAGTAAGTAGCACAGAAAGATATTACAGGTCCACATGTTTCAGATGTCTGCATTTCAGAAAGATATTCTGGCATTGTGATGTCATGATACTTTCTTAGGGACCTGTTGGACCCAGTGGACCTCCTGGCAAAGATGGAACCAGTGGACATCCAGGTCCCATTGGACCACCAGGGCCTCGAGGTAACAGAGGTGAAAGAGGATCTGAGGTAAGACATCACTTATACGTATGTGTATTTAATTTGCTACAATCTTCCAATTTTCAGAAACACAGCGCATTATGTTTAAATTGAAATAGAGAGACGCAATGCATCCACTCAATTTAGAAACTGAACAATGACTTTAAGACATTCTCCATCACATTAAAAATGTTTCTACCACACTATAACAGGAGAAAAATACCTTTTTAAAAATTTGATCAGGTATCCATCGTATCAGAATAATGACATCTGCCCAATTAACCAAATAAACCCTGTCCACATTGCTATCCCACTAGAGATCTCAGAATTACAACATTCATAATTATCTGCGTTTATGTAGTGCATTTTACTTCTCAAACAGCTTCCATGGTTACTATTTTGTTAATGATACTATCATTCCTAATACTTTCTATTCCATGCCTTTGGGTAAATGAAATAAAAACAATTATCCCAACAAATTACACTCCCCTCTGTCATGTCAATATTGGAATTGTAGCTCACAGGTGTTTGCTTACATCAGTCATCCAGAAGGAAGAATGATAGAGAAAACTTGTGCTCTGACACTACTGATTCTTACATAGTGGAACAATATCTTTCTTGATAATGAATTGTAGTTATTATAAATCGGTGATCACGTGACCCTAAAGGCACCCAAATAAATCTTTAGTAAAATAATTCTGATGACACAATGAATGAATTATTTTTAAGGCATTTTCTTGGACTAGCAATGTATTCTTAGAGTGGCGACTGAATGTGCATACCTCAATGATCCATGTTTTACTCATTCTAGGGCTCCCCAGGCCACCCAGGGCAACCAGGCCCTCCTGGACCTCCTGGTGCCCCTGGTCCTTGCTGTGGTGGTGTTGGAGCCGCTGCCATTGCTGGGATTGGAGGTGAAAAAGCTGGCGGTTTTGCCCCGTATTATGGAGATGAACCAATGGATTTCAAAATCAACACCGATGAGATTATGACTTCACTCAAGTCTGTTAATGGACAAATAGAAAGCCTCATTAGTCCTGATGGTTCTCGTAAAAACCCCGCTAGAAACTGCAGAGACCTGAAATTCTGCCATCCTGAACTCAAGAGTGGTATGTTTGGTAGTCTTTCATCTTCATGGCAATAGGATTACAGAGAAAGCTGCTTAGATTAGAATGGGAACGAAAAAACATCTACTTTCAATGGAAAGCTGAAATAGTACTTTAAGAAAGTTAACTGAATTGAAACTGCTTGATATAAAAGAGTAAACTTTGCAGATGTAAAATATAACATAACTTCAGATCATGCCAAATACAGAAAAATATAAAGACATTTTTGTAGAAGTTGTAGTATAAATTGTAAGTTATTTGAGTATAAAGTAACATATCTTTTTTTCTCAGGATTAAATATACATAATTTGATGCAGACAATTATAATCTGATTATTGTAATATTTACTTATTGCAATGAATCTAATTATTAAAATTTTCAAATTAAACAAGTGAAAAATTTCAGAATACTGTATAAAATTAAATAGAATATTGTAATAGTTTAAGGTTTTGCATATATTGGGTTAAATATTTCTGAAAAGCAAAATTATTTCAAGTTTTCAAATATCTTGACATGGAACACTGCCTTTGCTAGGAGTCATTTCTAGAAATTACTTAAAATAGGAGACAAGCATCAATCATAGGGATTTCAGCTTTAGAACTATTGGAACAAATCTAGGTTAGACAACCAGCTTATATTATTAAGCAAGATTACATATAATAATCATCTTTTTTTAAAGGAGAGACTTTTGCAAATATTATACAGCAATCAAAAGGTCTTAGCTTAGTGTATCATCCTTATTAGAAACCAAGATGTTGCATTTTATTTCAGTGCTTTCTGTAGTCATAGCTAACTCTTTTACCTCAGCAATTTCAATCAAAAAGCTTCTCTATCATTCTATACATAAAATGCAGACACATTAGCAGTCAACATTATGAATGCCTTTACAGGTAAACAAACAAAATCACTTTATTACTGGATTTTATAACCAATTCCCATTCTTTTTTGTGACTATTCAGGAGAATACTGGGTTGACCCTAACCAAGGATGCAAATTGGATGCTATCAAGGTATTCTGTAATATGGAAACTGGGGAAACATGCATAAGTGCCAATCCTTTGAATGTTCCACGGAAACACTGGTGGACAGATTCTAGTGCTGAGAAGAAACACGTTTGGTTTGGAGAGTCCATGGATGGTGGTTTTCAGGTAGGAAAGGATATACCTTTTTTTAAATAAGTCACCTCTATATCCTTTGTATTCTTCCTATATGTTCATCACAAAGCAAAGTTACTAGGTTGGTACAAACATAATTGCAGTTTTTGCTACTGAAAGTGATGGCATGCAATAAAAATATTTTCACACATAAAATACTCGTACATAAAATATATAAACAGCCCATATTACAATATGCATACACATACTACATGAATCCCTCGCGTGCAGTTACAACTGAAATGTTTGATCTGTTTTATTTGTTCCCTATTACAGTTTAGCTACGGCAATCCTGAACTTCCTGAAGATGTCCTTGATGTGCAGCTGGCATTCCTTCGACTTCTCTCCAGCCGAGCTTCCCAGAACATCACATATCACTGCAAAAATAGCATTGCATACATGGATCAGGCCAGTGGAAATGTAAAGAAGGCCCTGAAGCTGATGGGGTCAAATGAAGGTGAATTCAAGGCTGAAGGAAATAGCAAATTCACCTACACAGTTCTGGAGGATGGTTGCACGGTAGGAAACATTTTTCTCAATATAGGTCATAAAGCAGTCAGCATTTTAGTTTAATCATGCAAATTATTTTGAATAGAATAAATAAAATTAATAGGATGAAATAAAGATAGCATTTGGTATGAATTACATACATTGCATCTACTGATTCATTGCAGGGAATGTTAAATGCAACAAAATGGATCTTAGCCTCCAGATGAAAACCAGTTGAAATAAAAGCATTTAAAATTTAAATCCATAATGCAAACTTTATCAGATAATTGGGATAGTTACTATATGTTTTGAATAATACCTGTCACATTAACTCAGTTTGAAATATCTGTTTTTTAAAATTTTAAAGGTTAACTTCAAATCTCTCATTTGTTATTGTTATTTGTGAACAAAGGGAAAACTCACTTCTAATATTAGCGAATTTCATTGTGAGAGACCTATCCTCTTTTTAATAAACCATTTATAAACCTGTTAGCAATGGCCGGAACCAGGCCTCCTGAGGATGCACTGGTCTATAGCAATTGCCCTGCTGCATTTACTAAGAATCCTTACAAGGCATTTGTTTAAGAATATTGTTTATCAACTAAGAAGATTACAGCTTTGAAGTAGAGCAGGTCTCATATACATGAATAATAACATGGCACGATGAATGCTTCTTTAGAGTAAAAAGGTTTTCTTTAACTTGTTAAGTCAGAGTTGTCTAAGTAATTGTAATGTCATGATCATGTACATTTTGTCCTTTTTTACAGAAACACACTGGGGAATGGAGCAAAACAGTCTTTGAATATCGAACACGCAAGGCTGTGAGACTACCTATTGTAGATATTGCACCCTATGACATTGGTGGTCCTGATCAAGAATTTGGTGTGGACGTTGGCCCTGTTTGCTTTTTATAAACCAAACTCTATCTGAAATCCCAACAAAAAAAATTTAACTCCATATGTGTTCCTCTTGTTCTAATCTTGTCAACCAGTGCAAGTGACCGACAAAATTCCAGTTATTTATTTCCAAAATGTTTGGAAACAGTATAATTTGACAAAGAAAAATGATACTTCTCTTTTTTTGCTGTTCCACCAAATACAATTCAAATGCTTTTTGTTTTATTTTTTTACCAATTCCAATTTCAAAATGTCTCAATGGTGCTATAATAAATAAACTTCAACACTCTTTATGATAACAACACTGTGTTATATTCTTTGAATCCTAGCCCATCTGCAGAGCAATGACTGTGCTCACCAGTAAAAGATAACCTTTCTTTCTGAAATAGTCAAATACGAAATTAGAAAAGCCCTCCCTATTTTAACTACCTCAACTGGTCAGAAACACAGATTGTATTCTATGAGTCCCAGAAGATGAAAAAAATTTTATACGTTGATAAAACTTATAAATTTCATTGATTAATCTCCTGGAAGATTGGTTTAAAAAGAAAAGTGTAATGCAAGAATTTAAAGAAATATTTTTAAAGCCACAATTATTTTAATATTGGATATCAACTGCTTGTAAAGGTGCTCCTCTTTTTTCTTGTCATTGCTGGTCAAGATTACTAATATTTGGGAAGGCTTTAAAGACGCATGTTATGGTGCTAATGTACTTTCACTTTTAAACTCTAGATCAGAATTGTTGACTTGCATTCAGAACATAAATGCACAAAATCTGTACATGTCTCCCATCAGAAAGATTCATTGGCATGCCACAGGGGATTCTCCTCCTTCATCCTGTAAAGGTCAACAATAAAAACCAAATTATGGGGCTGCTTTTGTCACACTAGCATAGAGAATGTGTTGAAATTTAACTTTGTAAGCTTGTATGTGGTTGTTGATCTTTTTTTTCCTTACAGACACCCATAATAAAATATCATATTAAAATTCTCCTGTTTTTTGTCACTTTTCAAAGATTTAAAAAATGCACGTCTACATTAAGGAACTCCAGTAATCTTGAAAAAGTATATTGAATTCTAACTCTATAGATTAATAATGCAATAATTTTTAAGAATATAAAATAATATAACATATATTCAGAGTAGAGATAATGCTCAATGAGGAATCCTGCAGATTTTTAGATCATATTTGCAGGAACCCCTGTGGGACATACTGGACACTGAGGGCATTCTGTTTGAAAGGGTCAATCCTTGGAAATGGTAACACAGTAAATCAAGGTATTCCCAAACTGGGAATAATAAGGGAGGAAGATGTTGATAGTTTATCAGAAAGTAATTGTAATACGGGTCTATTGAAATATATTAATATTAAGAAAAATTGACAAGTACCACATGATCTCACTTCTATGTGGAATCTAAAAGAGTTGAATTCATTGATGAAGAATAGAATGGTGGTTTCCAAGGGCAGAAGGTGGGGTGGGGTTGGGAGATTTTAGTCTATGGATACAAAATTGCAGTAAGATAGAAGTTATAAGCTCAAGAGATCTATTGTGAAACGTGGTGACCACAGTCAATAACAATGTATTATATTTTTGAAAATTGCGAAGAGAGTAAGTATTCTCACCACAAGAAATGATGAGAACCTGAGATACTGCATATATATGCATATGTATCTCTGTCTTCCTACATATACATATATATACACATACATATATGTATACACACACACACAAATATATATATATATATATATATATATATATATATATGTATAGAGAGAGAGAGACAGAACTCAAATCAATAGTATGAATTAATAAATTAGATACTTGGAGTTTTATTTTAGACCAAGAAAGATATCTGGAACACAATGTTCTGCCTCCTGTATTTGTAACTTAATGTATCACAGAGAGTAGTTCATTTCATTATATATAGCTCTAACTTATTGTGTGTTATTGATCCCAATACTCAGTTTAATGAACACACGAGTTAAAATTACTTGTTTGCCTATTTGTTTATTTATTTGCTACCAAGTATCTAAAGCCCTATCTCATTGCAGGGAAGTTACAGTTAGATGAGTCTTGGTTGAGGTTAGAGGCCATAGACAGTTGCTTTCCTAACCTGTCTTGAGTTAGGGTGTAGGCAAGTGGCCATGTGACCTGAGCTTGGCAAATCAGAGACACACACCTGAAGGTCTCAATCTGGGGATAATTGTATTCACTTCATATTACTGCTGTAGCAAGTTACCATAAATTTAGTGACTTAAAACCACACAGATTTCTTGTCTTACACTTCTGAACATCAAAAGTCTAAACTGAGTCTTACTGGACTCAAATGCAAGTGTCAAACAAGGTTGTCTTCCTTTCTAGAGACACTAGGGAGAAACTGTGTGTTCCCTTTTCCAGCTTCTAGAGGCTGCCCAGCTTCCTTGGTTCATGAGCCAGTTCCAACATCAAAGCCAGAAATATTTGGTCAAGTCTTTCTCACGTTGTCTCATTCTGACATTGGCTCTTCTGTCTTCCTATTTCACTTTTAAGGAACCAAATGATTGCACTGGGCCCAAATGGATACTCCAAGCTACTCTCCCCATTTCAAGGTCAGTTGGTAAGCAACCTTAATGCCTGCTGCAACCTTAATTGCTCCTTGCCTTGCCAAAAAATGTAATATATTTACTGGCTCTGGGGATTAGGGTATGAACATATTTGAGGGAGCATTATTCCACCTACCAACAATAGTGATGCAAAGAAGTAAAAAGAATTAAAAATCCAGTTTGGTGGTGATCACAGCTATAGTTGGGGCAGCAACCGCCAGATATCAAAAGAAGCATGGCCAACAGTGCCAGAAATGGCATCCAGTGTCTTGTGTTTATGATGGCTTTGCCAGGTTGCTTTTAGGGTATGATTTTGAAGATGGCTCTGAATGTCAGCATTCACTTCATTTTTTGTTGATTTTATGCACCTGGATTCTATAGCTTTCTCTGAATTCCTCTGAATTTCAGATAAAAATCCATAAATTACATTTTTACTTCAGTGAGCTAAAGTTGGTTTAGATTGTTTACAACTAAGCCTGACTAGGCCAGCAATTGGTAACAGCAGGGCTGGCAGGAAGCAGAAATGCAAGCAAATGGAAAGACTCTGAGATCAAATGTTTGTACTAGTTAGGGGTAAAAATAGAAAATCCAGCTTGTATCCGGGAATGAGAATTTGGAAGTCCATGGAAATAGGATTAATCATTTATGATTACATTGAGTGATTTGCACTTTAAAGACAAGGCTTAAGGAGATAAGTGGCCTCTACTACACAACAGTATGTTTGAATTTCATGAGAAATTGCAGGACTGCATGTGAATGTGGCTGCTGTGAATGGTGATGAACAGAAAGAGAATGACAAGTTCAAATCCCTAACTTCTTGATTTAAGACACAGAAGAAAATCTATGCCCTTTCCCTGACTATGCTAAAATAAAAGCATACTATCTTTCTGGAAAAAAAGAAAAAAAATTCATATTTTTGCCAAAGGTTTGAGATACTAAAAACCAAATACAAATCTTAATTCTGCAGATCACCAGACTTCAACATAAATCTAAATGGATTTTCCAATTCTCTATTTGATTCTCTATAATTGGGAAACAGCAAGACCCTGGAAATTTAAATGGGGTTTATGGAAGAATTC